>NW_003315959.1:0-164789 GCF_000001405.40 Homo sapiens
GAATTCCCTAAAACCAGACAAAATATTTGTAGAAAAATTAATATTTAACCTTAGGCTAAAGAAGATGGAAGGCAGTTCTGTTCATTCCCCAATACACTGTCTCTCCACCATCAAAAGATCTTTGTAGTAGCAGTAAAGAGATAATAGATATAGAAGAATATGTGTGCTTATTGTTTTTAAAAAATAAAACAAGGACAATAAAGAAAACATAAGCACAAATCAAAAAGAATCAAACTGGCATCTTTCTGTTCATATGCAACCTGAGAAACTTGAAGTCTTTGTAAGAAAAGACTCATGAGAGAAAAGAACTGAAACTCAAGAATTCTCCACCTAGCTAAATTACCATTCACCTATGAGAGTAAAATCAAGTTACACAAAGATAAGCAGAAATTCAGAAAGTATTTTACCCAAGCATCCTGCCTAAGAAAAATACCGTGAGGGGTGGGAAGAGGACTAATGCAACAAAAAATAATCCAGAAAGGGATTTCAAGACAAAGAGTAAACAATAATAAACAATAAATATGTTAAATGTATAGATGTGATTACATATAAGAGGGCATAGGATAGGCTTTATAGCTGTCCAGGGGCATGTTAGCATTATTCTCAGATACATATAAGATTTTTAATATAATTTCACAATTCTGAGTTCAGAACATACTTAGATGAGGACATGTTACTTGGGGAAACTGAGAGTGAAAAATGAGAACTGCTTTGGTGACTGAGTGGATCTTACTGTACTGTTCTCTTTGGTCAAGTCTATATTGTATAACAACAGAATTTAAGGTTTCCCAAGGGTTTCCTGGTTTTAGCACTGAAAGTTGCATATCACAGATTGGGCACGGTGGCTCACGCCTGTAACCCCAGCACTTTGGGAGGCTGAGGCAGGCAGATCATGAGGTCAAGAGATCAAGACCATCCTGGCCAACATGGTGAAACTGTGTCTCTACTGAAAATACAAAAATTAGCTGGGCATGGTGGTGTGCACCTGTAGTCCCAGCCACTCAGCAGGCTGAGGCAGGAGAATTGCTTGAACCTGGGAGGCGGAGGTTGCAGTGAGCCAAGATGGTGCCACTGCACTCCAGCCTGGCGACAGAGTGAGACTCCATCTCTAAAAAATAGTAATAATAAAATAAAATTTAAAAGTCCCATATCACAGGAATCTTTTCAGTTAGGACAAAGTAAATGGTTGGTCACTCTAGGTACACCTGACTTAGATGAAGTTGCCCCCAACAAATATTCAGAACAACCTATGTATAGAACTGTCAGGCCTAGGGTGCAACACCTGGGATCCTAAAGTTGTAAAGCAGCAGACCTCCAGCAAAGGCAGGAGGTGGGGGTGGATCTTCCCTGCAGAGGACATGTTGTAATGTCTGGAGATGTTTTTGATTGTCCAACTGGAAATGGATGTGAGGTATTAGAGGAATGCCCCCAGCATCTAGTGAATAGAGATCAGGCCAGGGTTGCTGCTTACTATCATACAATGCACAGGACAGGCCTCCAAAATTAAGAATTATCTGGCCTGAAACATTAGTGGTACCCAAGTTGAAAAGCTCTGGTTTTGATATAAAAAATGGACAAAGAGATACCAGGTCAGTGCAAACCATATGACAGCAGAAGAGCCAAAATTAACAGCAAACAACTTGATTCTACAGATTAAAAACATGAACAAGATAAAGACACACAATTTGAATTGGAAAAAAAAAGACAAAATGATCATAAACCGTATGAACAAAATAATATGTAGGCTAAACATATAAGCCAAAAACTATTGGGAAAGACAGGAAGAATTTGACAGAGCATATAATTATAATGGGAAACAAAACTCTCTCTAGATTAGTCAATTCTAGTAGATAAAAAAATAAACAAAAGTAAAACTATAAGAATTAACACTAAATCTTTTCGATGAACACATTTTTTGGTAAGTTCTAACAATGTACACAAAAACAATCAAATATTTGACCACAAAAAACCATCAGTTTATAATAGATGTTTATAGGCCATATTCTTGCAGGCAATAAAATTAGGGGAAAAAAATAAGTGACCAAAGAAACTTAGCTGATTCAGAATTAAGGAAACAAGCAAAAACAACAACAATAAACTTAAACCCATATAGCTCTAGCTAAAATTAAAATGGAAGTTATAATTTATCTACAAAGCAATTTAAATGAACATACATGATACCACAATTTAAAGGACACAATGAAAATGATACTTAGGAGAAAATGTATTGCCTTAAATGTCTTCATAATTAAAGATGATAAAACTAGAACTAAGAACTTAACTAAGGTAATGTGAGGAGGGAGCGAGGGAAGAAGAGGCTGACTCCAAAAGAAGGACGAAAGTAAAAGCTGAAATTTTGGAAATAGAAATAGAAAAAAATAAACATATCCAAACCTAGTTATTTGAGAGACTAATATGTTAGTAAAGTCTTTTGTGTTCCAGAACATGAAGAAACAAAAATAAAGAAGCCTAGACATGAGACTAAGGCTCTAATCAGAGATACAGAGGAAAGAAATTCTACTTGTAACAATGGGGCAGCAAGTTTTGGGGTCCTGGATAAAATGAATTATCGGACAAATATGAATTACTAAAAATTTAAGAACAAAGATATATCAAAGCCAGAGAAGATTAGGAAAGTCATTAAATACCCAACCTTGTGAAAACAGAATGCTTAAATTTCTCTAAACAATAGGAAGAAATAGAAGGCTCTCTAATTCACTTTTTAAATCAGCGTAAGTTCATTATCAAAAGTTGAAAAGGTAATATAAAAAAGAAAATGATAGATCAATCTTATGAATAAAAATTAAAATTTTAAATACCCTATAAAACAGTTGGTAATACAAAAATCAATATATTTGAAGAAGCTGAATTTATTTCAGGGAAGAAATAGTGTTTTAATATCAGGAAATTTATTAACATAACTTACTATATCAAAAAATAAAATCAGAAAAAATAGTCTATTATTATGGATTCTGGAAAAGTACTTTAAAACCTTCATATATTCCTAATAAAAAAGACTACATACCATCAGAAAGAAACAATTTATATTAACCAATCATGTTGGTTAGTCATTTATCAAAAACCAAACACAAATACCATATACAACAAAAATTATTTCAATATAAACCAAGAACTAGAAAGAAATCTATGATCATCATTACTATTCAAAATTGACTTGGCAGCATCAGTAAATGTAATAAAATGAGAAAACTAATTTATATACACATCAAAAGATAAGATAAAATTTATATTATTTTATAGCTAGAAAACTTGTGAGATATTAGTTTAAAAGAAATACAAAAACCTTATCCTTCTAAGAATAGAGCTTTGTAAGATGGATGGATGCAGGACAAATATATAAAAATCAATAGCTATTCTCTATTCTAGCAAAAAGTAACCATATATGAATATGTGAGGAAAAGCCACTTGCAATCAGAACAAAACAAATAGGAATAGACTTCAAAAGAAAAGGAGGGGATTTATCTTAATAAAACCAAAGAATATTAAAAGAACTATAAGAATAAATAAGTAAGAAAAGGTATAAAATGTTGTTATGGAAGAGTTGATACAATAGAAATGTTATTTCTTTCAAAATTAGTATACAGCTCATTTCAATTAGGAAAAAAATTAACACGAAAGAAGAAATGCCTGAGAACAGACAATAAAGCTATAAAAAGGAAGAGAAGAATTCTGAAGGGAAACTTGCCTTTCTATATAAAGAATTATAAATATTTGAACAGAAAATAGAAATCAAAATTAAATCACTGTGTGTTAAGTATGTGGCAAGTTCAGTAGTTCAAAATTAGTGAGAAAAGGAACATGAACATGTGAATAATTGAATATGACACAGCTAGTCATTCATCCACCCAGAAGAAAACAAAAATGGGCTCCTATCTTAAAGTTTTTACGTGGATTAAAAGCTTAAATTTTAAAACACTATATATAATAAATATCATGAAAGAAAATCAAGAAGTCTATTATATAATACAGAGTTCAGGGAAACATTCCTATTCAAGACTGAAAACTCAGAAACTAAAACTTAAAAACACTGAAAATTCTTTGAAAAATTAAAACTGAAAATGCATATATCCAAAAAGATACCATGAGGTCAATGTCATATATCTGATGAGGAAATATAACACAGATGTAAGATAGAAGGACAGTTTCCTTAATATACCAAGAACGTTTACAAGTTCCTAAGGAAGAAAGACAATTCAGGAAGAATTGTACAGGAAAGGAATATACATAAAAATTGATAATTTATGAACAAAAATTTAAAATGACCAAATACATGAAAAGATTTTTATACTAATGAAAATTTAGCTAAATAAAAAATAAAGTTAAAGTGAATGATTTTACATCAGACTGATAAAAACTAAAAGGTGTTACACCTACTCTTGATAGGGATATGGGGAAAAGGAATTCTCATCTATTGTTGGTAGAAGGTAATGTGCTACAGCCTTCTTGAAGAACAATCTATTAAAACTGTTAAAATGTAATAAAATCTTTAACTCAGCTCGTCCAAATTCTTCCTGGAAACCTTCTACAAAATTGTTGGAAATAGCTAAAAACTGGATTAGCTATAGTTATTGGCCTGTTAGCAAAGGAGTTGCTGAGTAATGTATGGTAGTTTCACCACGGAATGTTATGTAGCTACTTAAAAGAGGGAATGAAAACTGCCAGAGGCGATCTTAACAAAGTATTATTGGGTAAAAAAATATATATAGAAGAAAATGTTGGTGTTGCTTAAATCCAAACACGCAAAAATAAAGAAAAAAATATATATATATGTTTATGCATATATGTGTGTATAGGCTTATCTAAGTAGAGGGGAAATAGGAGAGAAAACCCATCTGATTGTTTTGTAGGTTACTGGAAAAGGAAGGGCATGTTAAAATTTGTGTGGGATTAGGGAAAGAAAATCAAAGAAACAAAATTGAAAAATAAAGATGACAAAATCCCATGATTACTGTTTACTTACAAATTTAAATAAAATTATATATTTGAATAAAACTAAATTTAAATAACTGAAAATTTTAAAAATAAATGAACCTTTCCTGCTATCTGTCCCCACTAAGGCCATGTAAGTAATCACAGAAACACAGAACGGCTCTACTTCACAAATGATGAGGAAGTTTACCTTAAATCAGATAAAAATTGATTTTGTCACGATGAATCTTGATAGTGACATCAAGGCCTTTGATTGTGTTTTTCTAACATTATTCTCAAGAATTGGGTCTATTCCTCATAGCAGATAACCCAGTCCCAGACAATATCAGGCCCAGTATTCTCATTTGCTAGATGAGGAAATTAAGGTTCAAGGAAGACTGAAGTCATTTTTCCTAGTTGCAGTGCTCAACAACGTGGAAAATAACCTAGAAACTACTTCCTCTCCACAGGTTTCTCCAACTTTCAGCTTTGTTCCCATTATTCTATGAGGCCTCTGCCATCCAGGATTTGGAAGAATTCTCTCAGGGCCATACCAGCATAAAAGAAAGAAGTAGAAATCAATAGAGTAGAAAGGTCTCATCCTCCCAGATGGAGCACATATGACATTTTCTTCTTAAGAAGAGGGAATTGTGTCATGTGTATGTTCATTGCCACACTACTCACAATAGCAAAGACATGGAATCAACCTAGGTGCACATCAATGGTGCATTGAATAAAGAAAATGTGGTACAAATATACCATGGAATACTACACATCCATAAGAATGAATGAAATCATATTCTTTGCAGCAACATGGATGCAGATAGAGACCATAATCCTAAGCCACTTAATGCAGGAACAGAAAACCAAATACTGCACTTTCTCACTTGTAAGTGGGAGCTAACCACTGACCACACTTAGACATAAACAGGAGAACAATAGACACTGTGGACTTCTAGAAAGCGTAGACAGGGAGCGGGGCTTGGATTGAAAAACTACCTATTGGGCCGGGTGCAGTGGCTCACACCTGTAATCCCAGCACTTTTGGAGGCCAAGACGGGTGGATTACTTAAGGTCAGGAATTCGAGACCAGCCTGCCTAACAAGGTGAAGCCTCATCTCTACTAAAAATACAAAAATTAGCCGGACGTGGTGGTGGGCACCTGTTATCCTAGCTACTTGGGAGACTGAGGCATGAGAATCACTTGAACCCGGGAGGCGGAGGTTGCAATGAGCTGAGATCACGCCACTGTATTCCAGCCTGGGCAACAGAGTGAGACTCCATCTCAAAAGAAAAAGAAAAACTACCTATTGGTTACTATGCTCACTACCTGGGTGCATATACCCACATAGTAAACCTTTACATGTACCCCCTTTATCGAAAATAAAAGTTGAACTTAAAAAAATTCCCACCAAAAAAAAAAAACCTCTTGCACCAGACACAGTGAATCACAGTGTATCCCAAAGCTCTACCCATTTACTTACTTATGGAAGTCATGCCCCAGCCAAATGTCTACATGCCTACATAATGCTCTTACCCATAAGTTTTTATTCAATTGTTCATGCTCCAATCCCAAGACCATTACTTCTTTAACTCAGTTGGTAATTTTCACATATCCAACAATTGTTACTACTCCTACATGAGTAAGAAGAAGCTGAAACAAAGGTATTTAAAGTCATTCTCTCCCCCTTTTTAGAATAACAGAACAAGTTAACATGAATTAACTACTTCATGCAACGCAGATTATTAATGAAGCCCTGTCGCTAATTTAAGCCCTAGAAAGATCAGATTATTTTTTCCTGCAAGAGACTAAAATTGCAACGTTGGTTACTTAACAGTCAAGCAAGAGGCTATGAATCCCTTGTTGCCAATTCAGTATCTCCACTAGAGGAATAATTTAAGGCATATGACCTGTTAGGTAGGTGGAAGATAACTATTGTATGCCAAAGACATCATGTTTCTATCTTCAGCTATATTTCTGTTTTCAATTATGGAGTAAAGAAGTATGGCTAACATCCAAATCACCCAAGCTGAGCAGCTCCTCCTAACTCAGTCCACAAGTATTTGTTCATTATTCCAAGTAGCAGCGCTGAATAGGAACTATGTGAGAGCTACAACCCTGGCCCTGATTAAAGCTGGCAAAGTTATTTTGCTTCTCTGTGACTTAATTTCCTCATCTGTAGAATAGATTGTTTTCAGCTCCAATAAAATAAAGTTTGTAAAGTGGTCAGCATTGTGCCTGGCCATACAAACACTTTAAAACAATTACAGTAAGTTCTCATTTAACGTTGTTGGTAGATTCTTGGAAATTGAAACTTTAAGTGAAATGAGCCAGGCACAATGTGTCATGCCTGGAATCCCAGCACTTTGGGAGGCCAAGGTGGAAGATCTCTTGAGTACAGGAGATGGAGATCAGCCTGTGTGAAATGGGGAGACCCTGTCTCTAAAAAAACAAACAAACAAACAAATTAATTAGCTGGGCATGGTGCTGCGCACCTGTATTCCAACTACTCAAGCTACTCAGGAGGCTGAAGCGGAGAATCACTTGAGCCCAGAAGTCAGAGGCTGAAGTGAGCCATCATTGCACCACCGCACTCCAGCCTGAGTGACAGAGTGAGACCTTATCTCAAAAATAAATAAGTGAAAGGAAATATAACAAAACCATTTTCCCCTCATTAACATTATAACAAAACAATGTCAAATGAGTTATGCTATTTGAAGACTTGCTTGCTGTATGTAGTTTCACTTAAAGTCATAGTTTCCAAGAACCTATGATGACATTAGTGAAGACTTACTGCACTGTCATTTATAAGGAAAGTCTTTGTATTCAACCCTACTGGCAGGCTTTGTGGAAATCACAATCAGAGACAAAATCCTCACACGCACATAAAAATTAGAGACTTAATTGCTGAACCTAGCTGGTGCATATTCTGAGTCCTTTTGATCCTTAGAAGTGAGGGAGGTAGATGAAGAATTGTAGTGGTATAAGTATTACAAGTCCATGGGAAAGAACCTCAGTTTCCAGGAGAGATCCTCTGAGGAGGAGCTAGGATGTGATGATCTGAATCTTTTGTATGTGAATACAGCTTAGGAAAGGGGAATAAATGACCATGGAAATGATTTCCCAGAAATTTCAAGAAAATAGTTTTCACAGTGGAGTTGTCAAGAGTAGTGGTTCCTAGACTACACCAGGATCACATGGGGGGCTTGTTAAAACACAGATTGCCTGGCCGCCTCCTCTAGAGTTTCAGATTCAGTAGGTCTGGGATGAGGCTCAAGGACTTCAATTTCTAATAAGTTCTCAGGTGCTGCTGCTACTGGTCTGGGGACCACACTTTGAAAACCACTGGTGTCCATAACTAAATCTGTTTCCCAATTTGGTTTATTGATGAAAACTTGAGTAAAGAAAATTAATGTGAGTAGAGAGAGTTCTAAGCATAGAGCATTTTCACAGACCTTTTCAAAACTTTCCATCATCCTTTGACATGCTCTACAGCCTTCAAATGTCGTCAACAAGCAGCTGTTTAAAATAAAAACTTCTCTTGAAAAGGTAGTAGAGGAGACAAATGTGATTAATCTTCTTTTATTTTGTATCTGCAGAAAAATGGCTCTGGTGTTTTGCTGTAGATTTTGACATGTAGCCAGAGTTTGGCTTTGAAAATAACCACAGCATCTCTGCTCCAGGAGACATCAGAAGCAACAATTAACATTCAGACAATCCCACTCAGACTCCACTAGCAGCCCAGATTCTTGTGCCCCTGGGAATATTGACCCAAAGAATCAATTTTCCTTATAAATTAAAGGGGGTGAAAAGATCTAATCATTAAAGCATATGAGATTTGGTTTAAGTGCAGGACAATTATGCTACGTGAAGAGAGTATGATAGTTCAAATATCAATCATTTGGCAATGTTGTTATGTTTGGACTTGGGGAGTCCTTAGTAACCAAAAGAGGAGGTGACAACTTTTAAGGGATCATGCAAGCTTTTCCAAATATGGGCTTGTATGTTCAGGAAATACATTTATTAAAAAATGATGAAATTTGGTTATTTGTAATACTTGTATGATCCAAATGTCCATTGGCTTAAAAGACAACAGCCAACTGAGAGCAGAACACTCCCCATATAAAGGACTGCCCAGTGTTTCTGGAGTCCCCACGGTATGTACTTCTTTACCAGTCTCTTGCCTCATTCTCCCACTCCATCTGTGGCCCTCATGTGACCACGTTTTCTGCTTCCCTGCTATGCTTCTTGGGGTGATGAACTATAGCCATTGATCCACGTCTAGGTAAGCAATGCTGTCTCTGGAAGGGCCCAGAGTCCCAGCTGTGGGGTTCCAGGTGCTGTGGGAGTCAGGGATTAGGTCTGTCTTCCCCACCCTGTGCCCC
The DNA here is from genome assembly GCF_000001405.40 of Homo sapiens. Taxonomy (NCBI): domain Eukaryota; kingdom Metazoa; phylum Chordata; class Mammalia; order Primates; family Hominidae; genus Homo; species Homo sapiens. The sequence continues at coordinate 9,316 of NW_003315959.1, forward strand.
ATTTTGGACCTGCTTTGCTGAGCTAAGGGCACTACAGCAGCTCTCTTGAACAATAGTGTATCCATCTGCTAGGGCTGTTCTAATGGAATACTGTAGAGTAGCTTATACAACAGACATTTGTTTTCTCACAGCTCTAAAGGCTGAAACTCCAAGTTTAAGGTGTTAGCAGGTTTCGTTCCTTCTGAGGCCTCTCTTGGCTTGCAGATGGCCACCCTTGCTGGGGTTTCACATGGTCTTTTCTCTGTGTGCAGCATCTCTGGTATCTCTTCCTCTTCTCATAAGAAGATAAGACATACTGGATTAAGGCCACACCTTAACGGCCTCCTTTCAACTGAACTGCCTCTTTAAAGAGCTTATCTCCAAATATGGTCAAATTCTGAGGTACCAGGTGTTAGGTCTTCAACATATGAATTTGGTGGTAGAGGACCACAATTTAGCCTATAACAAAAAGCACAGTTGCATTCTTACTGTAATATTTCATTCTTCAAAGCCCATTTGAAAGACCCGGTCCAAGGAAAAAAATCCCTACACTTTTATCTTCCCACCAAAAGTCAACTAAAACTCTATTACAAAAGTAAAACTCCCATGAAAGTGAATTTTTAAAAGAGACAGAGGTTGGTGTAGGTGTGTCCTGGGATGAGGATATTGTCTATATCAGCCAAGAACAAACTGTCTAGCTTATGCCTTAAGTTAGATGTTATAGCACTTGGAGATAAACGTATCCCTTCCATTAACAGATCACCTAATCCAGACCTTTTATTTTACAACAAAGGAAAAAAAATGCCCAGATCAATTAAGTGACTTCGTAATATCACACAGTTAAACAGTGATAAATCTGCCTCTCCCAATTCCTAACGCTCTGCTTTTCCCACTACACATAGTTCCTGTCTATAAAATGCCTGTAGCTCTTAAGCATGGAAGGAAGCCAGGATCCCATCTGCTCTACCTAAAGTCCCCAGGAGTCACCTCAGGTGGAACTTAGGATATGGTATTTCTGAGGAGAGCTGCCATCCACGCAATTCTCCCATGTTCTTCCTACAGAATACTTCAATGAGGCCAGGGTTCCAGGGAGAGGAAAAAAAATTTGCCACATACTCATAACATTCAGGTACCCCAATGATATACACAAGAATTGTAGAGAACAGCCCAAGCCAAACAAACAAACAAAAAACCGTGGTTCAGAAAGTCCTCAAAATTTAGTTAATTCTTCATTTTGTGGACAACAACCTTTCCCTATTAATTAGCTTTATCCAATGAGAAATTATTTTTATACACATATTATACGCACATACACATACATGCACACACATACACATGCCTACATACATGTACATGTGTATATGCATATGTACATTCATATATACATATGTACATATTTTTTATATATACACACACAAGTGGCTCCTAAACAACATGGGTTTGAACTGCACAGGACCACATATTTGTGAATTTTCTGCTACCCCAGAGACAGCAGGACAAACCCCTCCTTTTCTTCCTCAGCCTACTCAATCTGAAGACAAGGACAAAGATGTTTATGATGATCCACTTCCACTTAATGAAAAGTAAATACATTCTCTCTTATGATTTTCTTAGTAACATTTTCTTCTCTCTAGCTTACTTTATTATAATAATACAGCATATATACATAAACATACAAAACGTGTTAATTGGCTGTTTTGTGTTAATTGACTTTAGGACAACTGTAGGTTATTAGTAAAGTTTTTGAGAGTCCAAAGTTATATGTGGATTTTACATTACATGGTGGATAGGAGCAGGCAGTCAGCACTCCTAACCTCTGTATCATTCAAGGGCTAACTATACATAGTTTTATCTAAAATGCACAGAAATTTGAGACATAAAGTTATTTTTAACCAAATCTTCAGAAAATTTCCTCAATTGTTCAATTATGTCCATGTGAGTTAAAAGACCTGAACGTGCTAGACATCCCCAAATAGTCCTAGACATCCTGAAATTGTCCAATTATGTCAATTTGATTTAAAAGGCCTGAAAGTCCTAGACATCCCCCAAAATTAGTGATGCTGGGCCACACAGCCTTTTGCTTCTGCAGGCCTCAGCCCCTAGAGCCATTTCTGTGAATCAGTTGCCCTTTCCTGTCCTCAGGTCGGCACTGTGAATAGAACAACTAAGTAGTTCAAGCTACTCACCCAAGAATTGAAAGACCTAGATAATGACAATGAATTAGTTTAATATTATTGTTGTAGGCACCATAATCATCAAATATAGAGCCTGTCTAACACAAAACATATATTGTAGGCCATGTAGGTATCGTATCAAGTTTTCTAAACTAATGGCATTAGAGAGAGAACAAGACCAGCTTCTCGCCAGAGGCTATCAAAATGCTCTGTCAACTAACCCAAATCATTTTGAAGATGTCTGCCAGCACATTGCTATACAAAATTGGCAACTTTGAAATCCTTCTGAATAATGACCTTAGACATGTAGTCTGACTTATGGGTGCCCCCTCTTCCTACCAATTAGCAATGCCTTTTCTTCCCCTCTTCAACCTCATCCTAGTATTCTTCAATGTTAATTAATTCATTTATCCATCAAATATTTACTGGACACACACTAGGATACTCCTAATCAGCTGGGACACAGCACCCTTAATTATCTCAAAACACCCCCTTCTGACCTGTCTTAGGACTTTTGTCAAGCCAACAGCCTCATGCTGAAGGAAATCTTATGTATAGGTAGTTGTAATTTGTAACATGGGACATCACCACCACCATTCTGATGGAATCAAACAGATGTCTGTACTTGTTTGGAATGAGACAGGGATGCTCAGTATTGGAGAATAATGTGTGAACCCCACTACAAGGGACTTTTAACACAAGAGGCACAGATATGTGTGCAAAAAACATAAACCAAATGAGGAAAACACACTAAGCATAGAGAATAATGAGAAGCCACAACCTAACTGGAGCTTTTACTAAGCAGAAGCCAGAGTGGCTGGCAAAGCAAAGAGGAGAGGCAGGTAAGAAAGGGAAGGAAAGTTGGGGCTGCTGCTGAGTCACAATAAGGCAGTCTAGAAAATTATTATTAATTCACAAGAGCAGCTACTGAACAGAGTTATTGAAACCTAAATGATGATAAATGACATTTTAGTGCTCCAGTAGGACTGCCTTCACAACCAATGAAGTATTTTTTGTCCTTTCTCATTTCCTTGGTATCAAAGGAAATCTGAGTGTGCCTCTTTTACTTCAATTAGGAGAGAGAATCTATCTAGCAGCCAATGGGTAGAAAAGACAAACATACCAAGAATTATAGTACATGTGATAGGTGGGTGTTACAGAATAGAGGAAGACCTTAAAACAAATTAAGGATTATAGGAAAACAGAGGGAGACCTTTAACCGAAGATTAATTACTTCTTGGGCTGAGTTTTAAAGGTCAGATAGGAACTGAAGACATGGGAAAAAGACATTTGAGGCAAAAGTTACTGGGTATGAAGGCACTGATGCATGAGAGAGTTGGCTGGGTCCAGGAAACTACAAGTATTTTGACCTGGCTGGAATGAATGCTGAATTTGTGGGCATGCCCAGAGTTAAGATTAGGGGCAGCCAGGGGCTGACAAATAGTCTGGTGACTAAGATAAGGTGTTTCCTATCCAATAAAAACTTTGGAGATCCATCGAAGGACTCTAAATGAAAGAGGGAGACAATCAGGTTTGCATTTCAGAAAGTTCCTTCTGGCTTGATTTGAGAATAGATTGGAGTGTGGCCACAATGGAAGCAGGGAGTCTAGTTAAAAAATAAATATTGTCCCCAGGTTGGAACTAGTGAGTGACTTAGCCAAAAGGGGAATAGAGAGGAGCAGATACATAGGGAGAAAATATATTACAGAAGAGGTAAAAGTTGCAGAATTTGTTGATGTATTCAGTGGATGCAAAGAAGAACACTAAAATGACCCTAATATTTCTGGCTTGACCTCTGGATGAATGGCTATACTAATCACTGACACTAATAGAACAGAACGAGTAGTTGTAGTTAAGGAAGAAAAGGAGCTCACATTTGGAGATGATAATTTCAGTATATCTGTGGGACAAAACAGGCAGAAATGTCAGGTAGACATATATGGGCCTGGATCTCAGCAAAAACAGGTAGGAACCACTATAGAGAGAATAATCAGTGCTAGGCATTTTGTTACAATCCTGAGACTGCATATGGAAAGGAAGGAGCCCAGGATGAAGGGTGGGGCACTGGATGATACAGAACACATGACAGAGCAGGTGAGATCAGCTAAACTCCCCTGCAAGCCTTTCCTATCTCAATCCACAGAAACTCCTTTCTAAATTGCCGTAGCAGTGACCATCTTTGCCTCATTTCAAAAGGTGCTGTTGTATATTATTCCCCCATTGTTTGATGTATAAAGATCTCAACTCTGCCCTATGGAGACACCCTGTCTTATACTGCTGTTGCATGGTTTTCCACTATCACTAACTGTGGGACAACAATTCAGAGACAGGAGCTCTGAATGCTTCTCCCAATGTCCCAACAAAATATGCAACCTTGAGAAAACTGTCAAAGACGGCTATCATTTCATTGAACCTATTCCATCAGTCAGGCATGATACAAAGCACTTTATGGAACTGTTATTTATTTTTTTGACAAATCAATAAGGTAGTGTTAAAAGATAAACCTTAGACAAATTAATTTGAACAGAGTTTAATTGAACAAAGAACAATGTGTGAACTGGGCAGCCCCTGAACCAGAATAGTTTCAGAGAGGCTCTGGCGCACCTGCGTGATTGGAGATTTAGAGACAGAAAAAGGAGAGTAATATACAGGAAACAGAAGTGAGGTGCTGAAACAGCAGGATTGGTTACAGCTCAGCATTTGTCTTATTTGAGCATGGCTAGAATAGTTGGCCACCTTTGATTGGCTGAAACTCCATATTTGGCCCAAGAGGAGGTTACAGTCTGTTTACACATCCAGTTAAGTTACATTTTACTATGCACTTAGAAACCTTTAGGCCAACTGTAGAATACATAAGGCTTAGGCTAAACGTAATTTAACAGCAGAGACAATTATACTACAGAAATTAATAAAGTGAGGTTCTGAGAGGTTAAAGAATTTGTCACAAGGAACAGAAGCCAACTTTAAACCAAAATTTGTCTTAAACCCAAAGACCTGTTCTTCTTATTAGCCAGTCATTCTTCTTGGGCTGATCACTGCATCTCTTTTAACTTTCACCTCCTCATCTGTAAAACAGCATTAATAATGCCTGTTTTGTCTTCTTGAAAGAATTAAATAAGGTCAAACAAACTAATGTATATGAAGATGCACTGAACAGTATAAAATGCTATAGCGCAGAGACTAATACACATCAAATAGCCTCTTTGTGTTTCTACATTTCCCAGCCCCAATTCGATTAGGTGAGAGGAGTGACTAGTTGTGGACAATAAATGTGGGAAGTGACATCCATCACTTCTGGGTAGAAGCAATGAAAATTTCCTGAGATTCTCAGTCTCTCTCCTAGCCTGCTACAGAGACTGAGGAATCTGCATATTCTAGAAGGTGCAGATATACTCCATCCACCTAACTCTTAAGTGGTTGTGTGGAGAATTTCCTACCATGTGAAATATAGCAAAAGTGTAGAAATAAATCTTTGTTGTGTAAAGCCACTAAGATTTGGGAGTGCTTTGTCACTGCAGCAAAATCTGACTTCTACTGGCTGGCATAGTCATACAATATGAAAAATTGCTGTTACCTGTCAACATTCAATATGTGGTAAGAAGGCATTGTAATTAAAAGTGTGGATCATGCAGCCAGAGTACATGAATTCAAATCCAAGTAAGTTCTGCCATTCATAAACTCATGGCCTTGGCAAGTAATTTAATTGCTTGGTGTCTCAGATTCCTCATAGGTCAAATGAGAATGATAAAATTACTTCATAGGAGCTTGAGTGAAACAAAATGAGTAACACATTTTATAGCATTTAAAACAAGGCCTGGAACATGAAAACACTCAATGAATATTAGCTATTCATATTTTTAGTCCATACTGAATTGACTTCAATTCCAATTAGCCTAGGAGGTTAACCAAAAACAGCCAAAAGAAAATTCCCACATATGTCCCCCAACAAAATTCACAAAGGCACTCTTCATGTCTCTGTAGGTAAAGGAAAGGAAATGAGAAGTTCATGGAACATACAGAGGTGTTCTGCACCTTTTGACTCTCTTTGTCTCTTTTCCTCCTTTCTCAGACCTGTGGAGAGTTGCAAAGAAGAGCCTTTCTCTACACCAGTGAAAACACATAGAGGATATATTCCCTAATGGAGGCACACGGCCTATTTTTGAACAGCTTACAAGCTAAAAATGCCTTTTTAAAAATATTTCTAAAGGGTTGTTAAAACACACACACACACACACACACCACCAACAACAAAACAGACTGTGTGGCAGAGACTATATGTGAATTACAAAGACTAAAATATTTATTTTATTACAGTCCTTTACAGAAAAAGTTTGCCAATCCTGCTGTATTGTAAACACCCCAATCCCAACTCAGCTCATCTTAAGAGATGGGGAAAAGTTAGGACTCTATTAATTCCTACACCCACTCTCCAGTCATCTTCCCTTCCATTCTCATTTTACCATGCTAATGAAATCTATGAATAGAAAAGAAAAAAAAAAAACACTAAAGGGCCGCCTAAGCTAAGAGTGAAATAAAAGAGAGAGGAAGTCTCAGCCTTTTATAGGGAGGAGAACTGAAGAATTTTACTGAAATATATATATATTTTACTGAAATATATATATTTATATATAAAAATATATACATATTTACTGAAATATATATATCTATTTCCTTTTTAGTATGAATTAGCTAATGCACCTCTTTCTTCCCATCTGTTTATAAACTCATGGTGCCCTGAAGGCAAGTGCCCAAATTAGCAGACCCTAGCAATAGCCCGGCCTCCACTTTTCTAATTCTTTTCAATTCATTCTTTATTGAGCTGGGGTTTTGAACTACTGGAATTAGTATTCTCCCCTCCCTCCCTCAACCCCTGAATGCATTTTATTCTTTCATCAAGAATGGATTGTCAAAAGCAGTGGCTAAGAAACAGGGTTCCAATAATGTCTGCTTGACAGTAATGACAGGAGAGAGAACTAAGGCAAGCCTCCCCTCCTTTCCTCATCATCTTGACATTCAAGTAAGAAATATAATGAATGACAAGCTTATTAAAAATAAATAGCAAGTCATCAAGACTTTACAAAGGTAATAATTAAGGCACATTGACCCTTGGGTTAAATTTTGTCTGACAGCTAATAACCATCTGGAAAGGCAGAGGGCACAAGACAAGGCCTAAGTTATTAAGCTACCCCAGTTGGAGCCACTTCAACCTCATTTCTTTCCCACCAGGAAAATCTGTTTCCATGACCCCTAACTTTATCCCAACCATTCCTTCCTTGTTCACACCCTTACTTTTGCTGGAAATAGTCTTTTTTTTTTCACTCTGTTGAACCATTCTGTTTTCACTGCCTTATTAACTCTCAACTAAGAATTTCCAGCGTAGGTCTGAATAACAGCTCCCAGTTAAATATTCTGATCCTATGACAAACACCGTATTGATGGTTGTTGACACTGACAAAGCTCTGGAAACCTTCCCCTCAACAACCTATAAAGGAGACTCTTGAATTATATATCTAGCATTGCTTTGAAAGTATATCATTTCTGATATTGTATCACTTCTTGGAGTATCTTTAGGTTGTTGTCTATCTTATAGCATACTTGCTTCCTACACACTTTGTTCAAGATCCAGTTTAAAGTCACTTCCCCTGTAGAGTGTTCCTTGAAAACTTCAGGAGAGATTTCTCCTTTCTATAAGCTCCTTAATATTTGTTGTCTCACTATAAATCATATACAGTACCAATTATATTCTGTAATATATCATATAATATCACCTTACTTTATTTAATTTGCATCATTTTTTAGTGTTTTACTCATCTCCAAAATCAATAGGAAGCTCTAAGAGCCATGTCTCATGCCATCCATATTCCCCAGAGCCAGGTAGAATGCTTCATACATAACAGGTGCTAAGTAAATGTTTGCAAACTAGATTGATTGCATAATGAGCTCATAAGCTAGGACTGCCTTGTGTGCAAAGTTGGACTTCTTTTAATTATATTAACGTGTTTCCCAAAAGTTGAACATTGATATCACCTAAAGAACTTTTAAAAATTGAGTTGACAAGGTTGTGTCTAATATCAGTTTGATCAAAACCCTGGGAACGGAGCCAAACATCAGTATTTTAATGTGATTTTGCTCCAGAAGATTTCAATGTCCAGTAGAGTTTGGGGCCATGCATATATTAACCTTAACTACAGAGCTAGAACTTCTACTTAACTCTGTGTCTTAACTTTCACTTTAATACTTATGGAGTCCCAACCAAGTGCTAGATGCTGCATTTGGTGCTGGGTATATAGTGGTGAACAAAACAGACATAGCCCCAGCATTCATGGAGCATACAATCTGGTTAATCTAATAAGCCTACAACTCTTTCTTTTGCTAGCACTCCTCTAGTGGGTTAATGCTGTCAATGATTAGTTTAGGGAGTGCACCATTTATATTTATTGAGAATAGTTTTTGTTTGTTTGTTTGTTTGTTTTGAGACGGAATCTCGCTCTGTTGCCCAGACTGGAGTGCAGTGGCGCCGAACTCGGCTCACTGCAAGCTCCGCCTCCCCGCCTCTGGAGCTCATGCCATTCTCCTGCCTCAGCCTCCTGAGTAGCTGGGACTACAGGCGCCCCCCACCACACCTGGCTAATTTTTTTTTGTACTTTTTACTAGAGATGGGGTTTCACCGTGTTAGCCAGATGGTCTCGATCTCCTGACCTCATGATCTGCCCGCCTCGCCTTCCCAAAGTGCTGGGATTACAGGCGTGAGCCACCGTGCCCGCCAGAGAATAGTTTTATCAATAAGATAATGCACTTTCTCCTTTTGTTTTAAACACTCTTGAGGCAACCATGGGCTCTGACTTTAGTTGCAAGATCCACAAAGAATACAAACATATTACACAGGTAAACGGTAAAAAAATTAATGACAAAGATGGTGAAAATGCTGACTGTGATTGTGGTGGTGATAGAAGTGGTGATTTTTTTTATGCTGACAAATAAAAAAATCTTTTGAATTTCAATTTCTAATTGGATCTAGGCAAAAGAGGCAAAAGATCTAGCCAATATGTTGTGAATCCTTTTTGAATTCCCCAGAGAAACAGAAATACAATGAGTTTGCATTAAACCTTGAATTAAAGCAATTAGTATTTTACAAGCTTTATTTACTGCCCTTAGGGGAAATGAATTAGATGGATAAATGTAGAATTGATATACTGAAATGTTGTCTGCCTTATTGAGGGTATGATGCAAGCATACTAATTGGAAGGCTGCTCTACAGTGAATCCATTGAGAAGACAAAAACTAAATTATATTAACCCAAATTATCAGATTTTCCTGATCTTGGGTCCTTAACCACTCATGACTCTTTGACTAATTTAGCCTCCTCCAGTTCATTTTTATACTTCTGATTATTTTCCACTGCAATGTTCTGGAAGCCCATTTCAGATGCTCTCTGCTTCAGAAGGGAGGCTGCAAAAACCGGAGGAAGAATCTGGTGCCAGATCATTTTGCTAATGGAAGATAATTATTGTGATTATCTCATCCTTGCTTAAAAGCTCTAATGGTAGCAAGCAGCCTCTCTGACAGGGTGAAGTTTCAACCAAAATATGTTGACTCTCTTTGTGGAAAAACTTGTCATATTCCTCTGAATGAGGAAAGACTACAGATAATTCTTCAGTAATACTCTTAAGAGAAGGCTATATAGCATAACAGAAAGAGGACTTACCTGGATCATCATATTTGATAATTTCTAGCTCTGGCTGACCACCAGGTTGCTACATGACCTTGATTGATTCCTGAAATCTGAGTTTTATTTTCCTCCCTCGTAATAGAAGGGGTACTGGCAAGAAAAAAAAATGACATAATGGACATGAGCAGTATCTGAGAACCATGATGTGATTGTATGAATTTATTATAATTATTCATAAAAATTATAAAATTATACAGAATATATTTTATAGATTTAAGGGATGTTATTGATACCTGGTGTCTTTTTCTAGAGCAAATGTTCTAGCCTCTCTGCTTACCTAATCAAGATGAACATTTCTATATTCAGTGGGCAAAAATCACATCTCTATTCTTTAAAAGGTATGTACCCTTGGAAAAGTTACTTAAACCTCTTGTAGCTCCAGTCACATTATCATTAAAATAGGAATTATTCCTACTTTGGAAAAGGCTGAGATTCTTTTTGTGAAGATAATATAATATTGATACCAAAACCTGACAAAGATAGTTCCCCACACCTTCAAAAAAAAAAAATCTTTGCCACATTTTTTACATATAAATACTGATGCAAAGAAATTTAAGGTATTAATCCTATGGTATGTCAGAAGTATAAAACACACAATGACCACATTTAGTTGGTAAAATAAATATCTAATGCAAGCCAGAAAATCATAAAAAAATAAATGAATTGGACTAACTTCATCCAAAAATACAACCTTTTTAAAGCTAAAAAAAAATTCAAAAGAATTTAGTGCTGACTCAGGAAAATAAGTTGAGCAGAATTTTAATAAGCATTGGACTATGAATAAATAGTCCAGAAATTGTCCAAAAGATATGCAGAAATTTATATCATAAAGGTGATTTCTAAGTACGGGAGAAAATGATACTAGATGGATGATGTCAGACAATTGTTCATCTATCAAGGGGAGATAGAATTAGAAGAACTATAGTTACAGCCAGACCACACTATTTATATTGAAAATACCTAAAAGCTTTTCAAGTAAATGAGAAATAAAACATGTAAAAAGTAAAAATAAACACATTATAGGAAATCATTTAATATTTTTATAGTTTTGGTGAGGGACTTTACATTATTTAAACAGATGCCATAAAAATGTTTACATAAGCTTCATAGTAACCACAAAATTAAAGTCTATAGTAGACACACAAAAGATAAAAGGAATCAAAGTGCAACTCTGTAGGAAATCATCAAGTCACAAAAAAGAACAGAAAGAAGAAAGGATCTACAAAACATCCAGAAAACAATTAACAAAATAACAACAGTAAATCCTTACCTATTACAATTACTTTAAATGTAAATGGACTAAATTTTCCAATGAAAAGAAAAAGCCAGGTGTGATGGTATACATCAGTAGACTCAGCTACATGGGAGGCTGAGGCCAGAGGACCACTTGAGCCCAGGAGTTCAAGTCCAGCATGGGCAACTTGAGCCCAGAAGTTCAAGTCCAACCTGGGCTTCCTCTGCAAAAGGACATCCCATCCTGGAAAAAAAAAAAAGAAGAAGCTGAAAGGATTCTTTTTAAAGCTGCAACTGTATGTTCCTCACAAGAGACTCACTTTGCCTTTAAGGACATGCATGGTCACAAAGTAAAGGGAAAAGTAAATGGAAAACAAAAGAGAATAAGACTAGCTATACTTGAACAAAACAGGCTTTAAGTCAGAAACTGTAAAAAGAGACACAAAAAGGTTGCTATATAATGATACAGGGTTGATTCATTAAGAGGATGGAACAATTATAATATATGTGCACCCAACATGGCAGCACCTAAATATATAAAGCAAATATTTACAGATCTGAAAGGAAACATAGACATCAGTACAGTGATAGTAGGGGATGTCACTTGTAACAGTGAATAGATTACTCAGACACAAAGAAAATAGGAAACATTGGACTTTGATATGATTTGGATATTTATCCCCTGCAAATCTAATGTTGAAATGTAATCCCCAGTATTGGAGGTGGGGCCTCATGGGAGGTGATTGGATCATGGGGACAGATCCTTCATGAATGGTTTAGCACCATCCGTTTGGTGATAAGTTAGTTCTCACTCAGTTCACAAGAGATCTGTTTGTTTAAAAGTGTGTGGCACCTCCTCCCTCACTCTCTTGCACCCATTCTTGCCATGTGAAATGATTGCTTCCCATGACCTGCCACTATGATTGTAAGCTTCCTGAGGTCCTCACCAGATGCAGATGCCAGCACTATGCTTTCTCTACAGCCTGCAGAACCAAGAGCCAATTAAACTTCTTTTCTTTATAAATTATACAGCTTCAGGTATTCCTTTTTAGCAAAGAAAGAATGGCTTAATTCAGACTTGAGCTACATTTTAGACCAAATGAACCCCACACACAAATAGAGAACATTTCGTTTAACAGCAGCAGAATACACATTTTTCTGAAATTAACATGCAAAATTCTTTAGGATACGTCACATATTAGACTCCAAAATAAGTCTTAACAAGTTTAAGATGATTGGAATCATATCAAATATTTTTTCCAATCGCAGTAGTATGAAACTAGAAATCAATTACAGGAAAAACCTTGAAAATTCACAATTATGTGGAAATTAAACACCATTCTCCTAAACAATCAACAGGTCAAAGAAGAAATCAAAAAGGAAATTTTTTTTAAATCTTAAGACAAACATAGAAACACAACATGCCCAAACTAATGTGATGTAGCAAAAGCAGTTCTAAGAAAGAAGTTTATAGTGATAAATGCCTACATTAAAAAGAAATATCTTGAATAAACAACCTAATGTTGTACTTCAAGGAACTAGAAAAAGAACAAACTAAGCCTAAAGTTAGTAAAAGGGAAAAAATGAGGATTAGAACAGAAAAAATAGAGACCATAAAACAATAAAACATTAAAAAGTTTAGAGATGGTTATTTGAATAGATAAACATAATTGACAAGTCATTAGCTGGACTTAAAAAAAAAGAGAAGACTCAAAATCAGAAATGAAAGAGGGGACATTACAACTGATATTGCAGAAATACAAAGGATCATAGGAGACTTGCAATGAACAATTATACATCAACAAATTGGATAACCTAGGAGAAATGAATAAATTTAGTTTTGAAACATGCAACCCACTAAGACTGAATCATGAAATTGAAAACCTGAGAAGACTGATAATAGGTAAGGAGATTGAATCAGTACTGAAAGATCTCCCAAAGATAAATGCAGAAACTGATGGCTTCATGGCTGAATTATACCAAACATTTGAAGAAGAACCAATATCAGTTTTTCTCAAACTTTTTAATACAAATTGAAGAGGAGGGAATACTCCCAAACTCATTTTACAAGCCACCATTACCCTGAAATTAAAGCCAGAAAAGGGCACTGTAAGAAAAGGAAATTATAGACCAATATATTCCTAATTAACACAGAAGCAAAAGACCTAAATAAAATATTAGCAAACCAGATTTAACAGCATAGTAAAAGGATCATACACCATGATGAAGTGGGATTTATCCATGGAATACAAGGTTGGTTCAACAAATTCAAATCAATAAATGTGATAAACTATATAAACACGATGAAGAACAAAAACCACAAGATCATCTCAATACATGCTGGAAAAGCATTTGACAAATTTCAACATCACTTCGTGATTAAAAACTCACAACAAAATAGGGATAGGATGAATGTATCCCAACACCATGAAGGCCATGTATGATAACCCCACAGCTATCATTCTCAACAGTGACAAATTGAAAGCCTTTTCTTTAAGATCAGGAACAATATAAGGATGCTCACCCTTATGCTTCTATTTAACATAGTACTTAAAGTCCTAGGCAGAGGAAATAGCTAAGAAATAGAAGGCATCCAGATTGGAAAGGAAGAAGTTAAATTGTTCTCATTTTCAAATGACCTGATCTTATATATAGAAAATGCTTTTAGAATAAGCAAACATTGTTAGAATTAACAAATTCAGTAAAGTTGCAGGATATAAAAATCAACATACAAAGATCAGTTTTATTTCTATATACTAACAATGAACTATTTAAAAAAGAAATTCCACTTACAATGTCAAAAATAATACTTAGGAATAAATGTAACCAAGGAAGTAAAAGGTATGTACACTAAAATCTATAAAACATAGATAAATAAATTATAGAAAACACAAATAAATGGGAAGATATTCAGTCTTCATGGATTGAAAAGATATTGTTAAGATGTTCATATTAGCCAAAGCAATCTACATATTCAGTGTATACCTATCGAAATTTAAATGGCTTGTTTTACAGAAATAGAAAAAAACTAAAATTCATTTGGAACCACAAGAATTCAAATAGCTAAAGCAATCTGGAGCAAAAAACAAAGCTGGAAGCATTATACTTTGATTTTAAACTATATTACAAAGCTATAGTAATAAATATAGTATGTTATTGACTTAACAACAGACACATAGGCTAATGGAAGAGAATAGAGTCCAGAAATATTCATGTATGTACCAGCCAACTACTTTTTGACAAAGGAACCAGAAGTACACAATGGGGAAAGCATAGACTCTTCAATAAATGATGTTGGGAAAACTGGATATCTACACACAAAAGAATGAAATGACCCTTCTCTTAAACTGCATACAAAAATCAATTCAAAATGGATTAGAGATGTAAATGTAAGACTTGAAACCATAAAACTCCTAGAGGAAACATCAGGGAAAAGATTATTGACATTATTCTCAGCAATTATGTTTTAGATTTGATACCAACAGCACATGCAACAAATGCAAAAACATATATGTGAGACTACATGAAACTAAACATTTCTACAGAGCAAAGGAAACATTCAATACAATGAAAAGGCAACCTATAGAATGACATAAAATATTTGTAAACCATATATCTGATAAGGGATTCAGATCTAAAGAACCTATACAACTTAATAGCCAAAAAACCAAACAATCCTATTTTTAAATGGGCAAAGGAACTAAATAAACATTTCTCAAAAGAAGACATGCAAATGGCTAACAGGTATATAAAACATGCTCAATATCATTGATCTTCAGGGAAATCGAAATCAATAGCACATTAAAATATCACCTCACAACCTGTTCGGATGGCTATTAACAAAATGTCAAAGATAGCAAGTATTGGTGAAGATACATGAAAGGGAACCCTTGTACACTATTGGTGGGAATGTAAATTGGTATAGCTGTTTATGGAAAACAGTTTAGAAATTCCTCAAACACTTAAAAAGTGAATTACCACATGACGCAGCAATCTATTTCCAGGTACAGAGCCAAAAGAAATATATCTTTACAGGATATCTGCATTCCCATGTTCAATGCAGTGTCACAATAGCCAAGATATGGAAACAACCTAAGTGTCCATTGATGGATGAACAGGTTAAAAAATATGGTTTTATACACAGACACACATGATACAGGAATAATATTTGGCCTTTAGAAAGAAAGAATTCCGACCACTTGCCAAAACATAGATGAACCTTGAAGACATTAGGGCTAAGTGAAATAAGCCAGACTCAGAAAAATACTGCATAATGTCACTTGTACATAGAATCTTAAAAAAAAAATTTAAGTCTAGCTTATAGTAACAGAGAGTAGGGGTTACACGGAGCTGGAAGGTAGAAGAAAGGGGAACTATTGGTCCAAGAGTACAAAACCTTCAGCTATAAGACAAATAAGTAATGGAGACCTAATGTACAGCAGGTTAACTATAGTTAATATAATGTATATTTGAACCTTGCTAAGAGGAGGTCTCAAGTATTCTCACCACACACACACACACACACACACACACACACACACACACACACCCCACAAAGGAACAATGTAAGGTGATGTTATTTAGCATGATTGTGGTGATTATTTTGCAGTGTATACATATGTCAAAATATCCCATTTTTTGTATATTCTAGATAGATGCAAAATTGATGCAATTTTTCACCCCATCAATCATAGAGAATAAAGGATGCATACTTCATTTGTTAATCATATCTCAATAAAGCTGGAAAGAAAATAAATTCAACACAATAATGAAAAAAGGTTTAAAATACTGGGAAAATACCATGAAACAAATTTGAGAAATATTTCTAACACACATCCCTGTAACACAGGGCCTAAGCTTTTTTAGTATACAAAGAGCTTTCACAAACAAGGAAGACAAAGATAAGTAACTTAATAAAAACAAAACAAAGTACACAATAAGGCATTTCACAAAAAAAAATGCAATTGGCCAATAAGTGTTTGTACCTTTAAGAATTTAAATCATTAAAATACATTTTCTACCTATTAGCATAATATAGATTTAAAGGTTTAATGATACCCAGTATTGACTAGCTTGTGAGACATAAACCACAAAGGGAAATAGGTTTGTCAGAAAATATTGCTTGCATATTGGTGGAAATGTAAATTGGTACATTTTAGGAAAATACAAGTCTCCCCTACTTCATCTAATTTCACTTTCTGCAGTTTCAGAAAATTACCTGCAGTCAACTGTGGTCCGAAAATACCAAATGGAAAATTCCAGAAATAAGCAATTCTTAAGCTGTAAAGTGTGTGTGCAGAATAGCATGATGAAATCATACACTGTACCATTCCCTCCCGACTGGGATGTAATCCATCCCTGTGCCCAGTGGACCCATGTTCTCTACAGTAGCCACCTGTTAGTAACTTAGTAGCCGTCTCAGTTATTAGATCCATTGTGGCAGAACTGCAGTGCTTGGTTACAAGTAACCTTTATTTTACTTAATAATGGTCCCAAGGCACAAGAATAGTAATGCTGATAATTTAGATATGTCAAAGAGAAGCCATAAAGTTCTTCTTTTAAGTGAAAAGGTGAAAGTTTGACTTTTTAAAAAGAAAAAGTTATATGCTGAGGTCACTGCAATTTTGAAGAAGGAAAAGAATTCACACATAGTATATACATGGTTCATTACTACCTGAAGTTTCAAGCATTCACTGAAGGTCTTGGAACGTATCCCCTGTGGATAAGGGGGAACTATGGTACCATTTTTAAATATTAAAATGTGTGTATTTTTCATCCTAACAATCCTGCTTCTAGCCATTTACTCTCACTGGAAAGGACACATAGGTATGTCCTGCATTAGCTCTTAGGAATTGGTCTGCAAATGGATAGACATAGTAGAGGCAATTTTGCTTTTCAATCTTATAATGCTCTTTATAATTTTTTCTTTTACGTGTTGCTTATGTATGAATAATCTATTTTAAAAAAAAAAATGGTTACAGAAATTAAGACAATGCCACCATCTTAAAGAGATTTTATGAAGATTAGTGGTAATCTATGTAATATACCCAGAAACGTACTTGGCATATAGTTAAGTGATCAAAAGAAAGGATGGCTGTTACTTATATTTTCTTTTGTGAAAAAGAAACATTCTTGCTGTCTCCCTTCCTTTTTCCTTCTTATTTTCTTAGATGACCATCTAGCAAAGCCTTAAAATGCGTCCCATTCCTTTGTCTAAGCAATGTAACCTCATCAAATCTGGGACATAAGCAGAACTGTGGAATAGAGATACTAGAGTTGGAAGAATCTTAGAAAATATCTAGCTAGACTCTTTTGTTTGATTTTAAATAGTTAATATATTTCCAGAAAAGGAAAGTGACTTGCTTGAGTACTCAGCTGTTTGAGGTTAGGTAGATCCAGAACATACACCAATAGAGTATTCTGTTGAGGGAGGAGAAGGGAATGTTTAAAAGTTTTTAATGTTCTTGAAAATAAATGGGACTAACTTATATGTGGGGCAGCAGGGACAAGTGAAAAGGAATATACAGTTGACCCTTGAACAATGTGGAGGTTAGAGCACCAAACCCCCTTTCCCTAGGCAGTCAGAAATCTGCATGTAAATTTTGATTCCCCAAAACTTCACTAATAGCCTACAGCTCACTGAAAGCCTTACTGATAACAGTTACCAAATATTTCGTATGTTATATTTCTTATATACTGTATTCTTACAATAAAGTAAGCTAGATAAAAGAAAATGTTAAGGAATTCATAAGGAAAATAAAACATATTAACTATTCATTAAGTGAAAATGGATAATCATAAAGGTCTTCATTCTCCCTCATCATTTTCGGGTAGGCTAAGGATGAAGAGGAAAAAGAGGGGTCAGGTCTTGCTGTATCAGGGGTGGCAGAGGTAGAAGTAGTAGAAGGAGAGGCAGGCACACTTGGTGCAACCTTTATTAAAAAAAAAAAATTGCATATAAGTGGACCCCCGTAGCTCAAACCTATGTTATTCAAGGGTCAACTGTGAAATCAACTTATAAGTGCTGTGTACTATTATTAATTGTTCTATTAATAATAATACACAGTTCTAAAATATAATGGCCATCAAGTAAAAGCAAGTCAACCTGGGGAGCCCAAAGGAAGTGCTCTTCCTACGGTAGAGATAAATAAAGATGAAGGGGACTAAAACCTCAAAGGCACTTTCTACTTCTTCTTTAGAATCCCAGTGACAGAGTAAAGGGCACGCAACTGAAAATCCAGAGTCCCAGGACCTAACTCTTTCTAGCTCCTAATTCGCTTTAGAATTTTCTTAGTCACTAAACCAGAAAAGAGCTTTCTACTTCATGGTCCTGTTTTAAGGGTCAAATAAAATAGTTTGCTAAAGTGCTTTATAGGGACAAAGTGCTTTACAAGGGATTATTCAAATGTAAGATATTGTCAGTGGTCAGCTTTCTTTTCTAGTTATGTGTTGCCTTTACTAAGCAAACTCATTTAAAATAGCACACAAAGATGCATCCTATTTTCATAAAGTGTGGATACATAGATTGCACAAACCAAAGGAAGGCTGTTTGCCTGCAGTGCAAAGGATAATGCCCCAAAGGAAGCAGGCTGAAGCGTGAGCTCAGTAAATATTCTGACGTACGCCAACACTGGGTGCTCTCAGTCAGCTGGCTGGCAATGCTGTTTTTGAGATTTGAACAGCCTACAGTCTTCAGCTGTCAGAGTTATTAGTGTCTCTCTGAGAAGGGCATGAAAAGATGCTCCCACATATCCAAAATGGCCTCTCTTGAAGCCCCAAAAGGCTGATTTTAGTGTTGGAGAAAAAAAACACCCTATTGCAAATAATTCAACAGCCATCTCTACAAATCTTTAGTTGTAGCTGAGGAAATAAAACCTAAATTTATTGACTTAGAATTAACAAGAGGTTGAGTTTCATTCAGCATGACTTTTAAGTTCTATTTTATAGTATATTTATTTTGTGTTTACCATGAATATCGTAGGTAGTGATCCTACTGGTAGCTTCCTAATCGAGGGAGAATGATGAACAGTTTGGATTTTTGATTTTGTTTTTAAAGAATTTCTGTGTTTGAAATGTTGTTCATACCATCTCACTTTTTGATGGTTTGGGGCTATAGAAGGTTAGGTTCAAGTCACTGTCCCTCCACCATTTGGAAGCATTTCCGCCTTGTGTTCTGGCCTCCATTTTTTGCAGTGAGAAAGTTTAGTTTTACTCTCATTTTGACTCTTTGTATAAAATTGTCTTTGTTAAGCTATTGTTATATTTGTAGTTGCTTTTTAATCTCTTGAAAATTTTAGGATCTTAGCATATTCTCTCATGTCCTGAAATTATACCACACTGTGAATTGCTGGGTGTCCATTTTCAAAAAAAATTGCTGTTCATGTGGTAGGCCATTTCAGTAAGGAAACTCATGTTCCTCAACTCTAGAAATTTTTTCTACATTGTGTATCATTTTCTCCCGTCAGTTTTTCTCTTTTCCTTTTCTGAATATTACTCCTTAGATAGTGAACCTATTAGAATGCTCCTATACTTTGACAGTTTCCTTACTTCTTATAATTACCTGTGTTAGTGTTAATACCTATTAATATTGTTTACTTTCTAAGTTATTCTCAGCTTTGTCTTCTTACCCTCCTACTGATTTTTATAAATTTCTGCTACTCTATTTTTGAAACCTATTTTCAGCCAGGCAGGGTGACTTATGCCTGTAATCCCAGCCCTTTGGGAGGCCAAAACAGAAGGATCACTTGAGTCCAGGAATTTGAGGCTGCAGTGTGCTATGAACATGCCACTCTACTCCAGCCTGGGTAAGAGAGCAAGACCCCATCTCTAAAACAATTTCTTTTAATCCTATTTTCTCTAAAAATACCTTTTAAATAGAATATACAATATCTGTGATCTCCAAACTGGATGCTATCTTTTTGAGAATGCTAGTGAAGTTGTTTCTCTGTGTATTTGATTGTTGTGTGTTAATCTGCCATATGTGATGCTGGTTTTGCTAAAAACATGACTGAAGATCCTTGGCTATCTGTTCGTATAAGAGAGTGGATCATTCAGAAGCTGAGTAGTAATCAGCTCCTTCAGTAATTATTTTTTTTGTGTGTTAGATAACCAAGGAGAATATCGTGTTAGTCAGATAACCAAGGAGAATATCACGTTAGTCAGATAACCTAGGAGAATATCATGTTAGTCAGATAACCAAGGAGAATATCATGTTAGTCAGATAACCTAGGAGAATATCATGTTAGTCAGATAACCAAGGAGAATATCATGTTAGTCAGATAACCAAGGAGAATATTTCAATCTCTGCTTGAAGGGAATTAGAATAGCTGCAACTATTCCTAGAGCCCAGTGAGGGAAGAAATTTGGGAATTTCAACGTTCCTAACAACATTCTACATCATCCTGTGTTATCAGTAAGGTAACCATAACCTCAGCTGTGATATGTTCCCAACACAGGCTATTCTTTCTCCTGAAAATAAACCTCTGCTCCTTTTATTTGGGGTTGAGGAAGGAAGTCTTTCAGGTGGAAAGAGTGATATGTGGACTGGGGATGGTGGCTTACGCCTGTAATCCCAGCACTTTGGGAGGCCGAGGCAGGCGGATCACGAGGTCAGGAGATCCAGACCATCGTGGCGAACACGGGGAAATCCCGTCTCTACTAAAAATATAAAAAATTAGCCAGGCGTGGTGGCGGGTACCTGTAGTCCCAGCTACTCGGGAGGCTGAGGCAGGAGAATGGCGTGAACCTGGGAGGCAGAGCTTGCAGTGAGCCGAGATCGCGCCACTGCACTCCAGTCTGGGCGACAGAGCAAGACTCTGTCTCAAAAAAAAAAAAAAAAAAAAAAAAAAAGAGTAGTATGTAGGACATGAGATCTGAACTACTAAACATCAGACTTTCAGCCTATCCTGTTTTCAACCCCACCATTACCTTCACTTTCTTTTTTTTATTATTATTATACTTTAAGTTTTAGGGTACATGTGCACAACGTGCAGGTTTGTTACATATGTATACATGTGCCATGTTGGTGTGCTGCACCCAGTAACTCTTCATTTAACATTAGGTATATCTCCTAATGCTATCCCTCCCCCATCCCCCCACCCCACAACATGCCCCAGTGTGTGATGTTCCCCTTCCTGTGTCCATATGTTCTCAGTCATAGGTGGGAATTGAACAATGAGAATATCCTCACTTTCAAATGTACCTGATGGTACCAATTTCTGTGCCTTAAAGGGGCCTGCAATACAAATCAAAATCTCAGCTTCTCCCCCTGCTTGCTTACAGCCCCCTTTCTAAGGTCTGCTAAATCACTTGCCCCATGTCCAGAAGCTCCTGTTTCCAATATTTTTTATGCTTTTGTCTTTGCTCATGTTCTTTGTCCTTCAAGGTTTCAATCTGTTTTTTTAATCCCTTAACTATTTTAGTTAGATTCTCAGAGGACAAGGAGATAAATGCTCGTGTTTGATCCATCATATTTAATCAGAACTGAAGGAGAAATTTTGAAGGCAGTTAAAGGGTGAGGAAAAGATCAAGCCTCCTATGAATCATAATCCCTAAACATCATCTATAATACTCATTAAGCAATCTTTTTTCCTTTAAAATAACTCAATACTTTTCTAGCTATATATTTTACCATATCCCTGCAGAAACAGCCAAATTTCAGTTTTAAAGTGCCACACTCTTGAAGGAGATCATATTCAAATGAAGGTCATAAATAATGGCTTAAGAGTTCCCAGATTCTCCAAGAGGAAGTTAAAGAAAACACTGCCTCTTTGCCAATAAATATTTAAAGGTACTGTTAAAATGATGAAGTTTAAAATGCCATAAGAAATTATATCAAGATATAAATATTTTCTATCTAACAGCTGGACAGTGTGCTTCAGATGATCTGTTTTGGGTTTTAAATAAAGGGAGAACAAAATGTAGACAGCACAAATATCTGGTATATGAAAATAGGTCTTCCGTAAGTTGACCTTCTCACCTCCAACAATAACAACAACAACAAAGGCATTGGGAGTTTTCATTTTTGCTGAAGATCTGAACTTTCTTCCCTGCCCACACTGAGATTGAAACATGAGAGGCAGAAGGCTGTGCACAAAAGCCATTCTCACTGCAAACTCCAGATTTATGACACCCCTTTTACTATGGCATACCCTGGGGCCAATGGGGCATTTCAATAAGTTAAATTAAAACCACTGACTTCAGGAAATGAAATTTATGTAAACAACAGCATTAAACAGCCTTGACTGACACAGGGGAATTATTAGTGTTGGGCATTTGTTTTTCCCTTTATTTTCCTCTAGCTTTTCCCTGTCAAAAGCTTGGCATGTACCTTCCTCATTAGTAAAAGATGAGAAAACATGGGGCATACAGAGAGATTCTGATCTTATTATATTGCAAGGCTATTATTCATTTTGCCAAGGGTTCAGGCCCTAAATCCTGAGGCTGTCCAAACACCCAAGAAGAGCTCTCACCAATCAATGTCCATGCACAGTCTGTCTTTCAGCTCCCACACAACATGTTAAGACATAGTCTCGTATCCAGAATGACAATAAACAGCACTTGTCAAAGAAAGTCACTCATACAGGGCCACCACACTCTCTGGCTAGCCAGCACCAAGGTTGGAAGAAGCAGGGCGACATCCAGCAAGATTTCAGAACATAGCTGATATAGTTTGGCTGTGTCCCCACCCAAATCTCGTCTTGAATTGTAGTTCCAATAATCCCCATGTGTCATGGGAGGGACTCAGTGGGAAGTAATTGAATCATGGGGCTGGTTAACCCAGTGCTGCTGTTCTTGTGATAGCGAGTGAGTTCTCACAAGGTCTGATAGTTTTATAAGGGACTTTTCGCCCTTTTGCTCAGCACTTCTCCTTACTGTCACCATGTGCAGAAAGACGTGTTTGCTTCCCCCTCTGCCATGATTGTAAGTTTCCTGAGGCCTCCCCAGCCATACTGAACTGTGAGTTAATTAAACCTCTTTCCTTTATAATTTACCCAGTCTCAGGCATGTCTTTATCAGCAGCGTGAGAACGGACTAATTCAACGGCTCTACAAAATATGGCTCATCCTGTTGTTTTGTGATCCCTGAACATCCATGCAGGTGAGTTGCAAAGATAAATCTGTCTTGACAAGATGGTGCTAATTGTCCCCAAAGTAAAATATATTTTATTATGACAGCTAATTTGAAGAACTGCTGAATATGTCCTAGAACAGAGAGCTAAAAATCATTAAAATGAACAGTTTACCCTATTTCTCCTTATGTAGGGAGTTATGACTAACAGGCAAAATCCTAAACAAGCTTCTCCAAAATCTACATTATATCTGAATGGAAGAACTGCCTAACAACTGAAGAGCCCTAATGTGGTTGTACTTACTCAAGGGATCGCTCTCTCATACACATACACACACACACACACAGAGCAATATTAATAGTAACATCTGTGAAAATAGAGAATAATGCAAATGCTTACATCCTTTTAAAACATATTATCTCCAGTGGACGAAATGATGATACTCAAAAATTGCTGAGATTACCATTCTCTTTTACTATCATTCCTCATCCAGTGGTTCCCTACATTTTCACTGCATTTCTCTAATAATTGTTCCTATTCAATTCTATACCATCTACTTACAAAGAATTATATCATTTTCAGATATTTAACATATCAAGGGTAAATGGAATGTTTAATTACTCTGAAAGCCAAGTACAAGGATATCCAGGTTGGAATAGTATAACCAAGTACCCTGTCTTCTTAAAAACAGCTTTTCCCGGCTGGGCATGGTGGCTTACACTTGTAATCCCAGCACTTTGGGAGGTTGAGGCAGGCAGATCACCGGAAGTCAGGAGTTCGAGACCAGCCTGCCCAACATGGCAAAACCCCATCTCTACTAAAAATACAAAAATTAGCTGGGTGTGGTGGTATGTGCCTGTAGTCCCAGCTACTCAGGAGGCTGAGGCAAGAGAATCACTTGAACCTGGGAGGCAGAGGTTGCAGTGAGCGAGATCATGCCACTGTACTCTACCCTGGGTGACAGAGCAAGACTCTGTCTCAAAACAAACTAACAAACAAACAAACAAATCCCTTTCTCCTTTTCTTGTTTTTCATGTGTGCTGACTCCTTACTTAGTACCTTAGGAATGTGATTATAACCTCTGCTCTTTTTCCACCAGTTACCCCTTGAGCTGCTAGCTTTTCTAACTACATGTTTGCTTAGAAGTTTCAGAGACTGAATCTTGAAATGATCCAGGTGCCTATGAAATTCTTCCCCACTAGATTACTTCAAGGCTGCAGTTAACTTACAACCTGCTTGTGCCTGCAGTGGCACCAGCCCATTCACCAGATAGGCAATAACTCACGATTAGTCATCAGAACAAGTCGTGTAGACCTGCACTGCCTCACCGCCCCTGCCCTCTGCATACCCCTCATGCCAAACTTCCCCTTTTAAACCCTTGATTTCTGCCCAAAATTTGAAGTTGCTCCATTAAGGCAGGAATCTGAACCATTTACCCCTTGCTAGCTTTGGAAAATAAAGTCTCTTTCTTCCTACTGAATCTCATCCTTGTTATTTGACTTTGCAAGTAGTGAGCATCTAAACCTGCGTTCAGTTACAACAGCACTACCTAACTGAAGAATCACAGTGAAATTATCCTAATAAAAAATAACCATCTTCCCTGAGGGCTCTCATACATTAAAAATGAATATATGGATGGAAGGATTCATCAATAAACAACAAATAAACAAATATTTCAATAATTCTAGGTAGTTGTGTCTTAAAATCTGAGTTACATTTTGTTTGATGCTTTAATTGACACAGAACCAAGCAGACTAGGATGAGACAACTGACTCTTGGAGTTAAAGGTAACCTAGAGAGTGACTATTCCAAGCTCCTAAGTTTACAAGGAAAGATGAAAATCTCAGAGAAAAAAAAAGGATTTACCTAAGATATAGAAATCTATCAATGGTAGAACAAGGATAGGTTCTAGTTCTTGTTTCTGATCATTCTAGTGTTTGATACTATGCCACAGTGTCCTGTCTCATAGTGACCTCTAAAATTTATCTCAATCTAGACCAAGGAAAGTCTACCATTTGGTAGCGTTCGTTTTGCCTCTTTCGGGGGAAACCTGGACAGCATTTACAAGAAGGGAAATCTCACATCTCCCTCAATCCCTTTTCTAATAAGGCCTAGCTATTGACATCTATGAATGCTACCACAAGAACTTCTGCTGGAATTAGGTCATTTCCAATGTCAGATTTGCAGAGAAGTCAGGAGACTGGATGAGGTCTCTGTTGATCATAGAGAGTTACAAGAGGATTATAATAGTTGTAAGCATTGTACTCATGAAAAGCTGTTTTCAATATCAGGAGTTGTGTAGTGGCATGGGGGAAACATTTTCCTGTTTTTTTTCTTTATGGTGGGAACTCTTTTTCAGGACATCCCAGCAAACTACTTTTTTAGTACCATTTGCCATAACTTTGTTGTGTGTCTACTAATAGGTTGATGATGAGAAGAGCCTTCCATTAAAGGCCACATTGTCAGAAAATCAGACTTCTTGAATGATGGAGTAAGAACCTCCAGAAATCTGTTCCTTTATAAAAAACAGTGAGACTACTGGCATTGTTATTTGTTATCAAATATATTCCTAAGTGACTGGAGGCAGATGAAGGTAGTGCTACTCATGAAATCTCAAAGTTGAAAGAGCAGAGCCCATCAATGGTACCAATGCAAAATTCATATGGTGCCAGCCTCAGAGTCATAAACAATTCTAACATAGACTTTTGAAGCTCTTTCCAAATAAAGTTGTTGATTTCAGATATATGTTTACAGGGTTTAAAGAGATATGTTTTATATTTTTAATTTCACAATCAAACCACTTAGAGTAGAATATGAAATTATATAAATTGAAACACTGTGTAAGTGGAACAATTTTATTGTGCTGTATTCTTTTAAGTGATAAAAGTTTCATTGTGGTGAATGTTAATATTCTAAACCTACCAGTTTAAGATAAACTTCTTTAGCATTTCCTCATTTATAATACACTAAATCTCAAAGCTGAAAATGCTGGGCCTCTCTTGACCCTTAAGAGACCCAGGGTCTCTGACTATATTCTCATATGTATTGGGTATTTTGGAGGCCCAGGAGAGAAGAGTTTAGTAAAATCAGGCACCATAGGCAAAGAATCAAAATATTCTTAAAGATTGCAATTACATGGCTTGGAAATTGAGCCTTCTAGAACCTTATTACTCAAAATATGGTCTGTAGACCAGCAGCCTCAGCATCTTCTGGAGGACTGTTAGAAATGCAGTATCTCAGACCCCGTTATGCAGATCTACTAAGTCAGAATCTGCATTTTATATGGATATACACACATATATTTTTTACAGACAAGGTCTCACTCTGTTGCCCAGGCTAGAGTGCATTGGTATAATCATAGCTCACTGCAACCTCAACCTCCCAGGCTCAAGAGATCCTTCCACTTCAGCCTCCAGAGTAGGTGGGACTACAGGTATGTGCCACCACACCCAGATAATTTTATATATATGTTGAAAATATACACATATATTGGAAATATAGGCCTTATTGAGTGGCCACACATCCACTATAACAAAGACCATGTGCTATGGCTATTCCTTCTAATTAAATGAGGTATTATGTAATATTATATGAGAGCTCCTGATGAGTGTTTTTTGATTACTAAGTGTGACTTGCTCATTTTTCCCGTTTAATTGTTTTGTACAGCCTCTATACCAACGAAGACAAAAAGATGTAAGAAAAAAAGTCCATGAGCCTCTGCTGCTGGGAGTCCTACCAGGTTCTTCAGTGCCGAGCTAATCTCCAGAAATGTCTTTATAAGGCCTTGCCCTCTGATGACTCCTGTTCTCAGATCTTATAATGCCTCTTAATCTTAACATGTATGCTTTTACATTTGTATTTAAAACTGGATTAAGGCAGGTTGGCAATTCACACTTCATGTATTTCTTAATGATAAAACATTATGCTCTGAGACTCTCCAAGTCTAGCTTTTGATGCTCAGAAGTCTGGCTCTTGCAGTTCAGAAACCTTGCCCTTCACATCTGTTCTCTTTGTAGCACATTTAAGGAACCTGCTATGACATGCTGAGGCTGAGCATCAATGCCTTTGTTCCTTTTTCAGACTCTTTTTCCCTAAAGCCACAAAAAGGTCCCAGAGGTTGGAGTGAGCTAATAGGGGATTGTGATGGGGAAACACAATGGCTAAAAATTTAAAATATATTATTTGGCTCTTACAAACTAAAGAGTCTCAGATTTATTTTAAAGTTACTGGATAACTTAGTAAGATCAGATAGAATTTAAACAAGGTAGTAGGAGGTCGCCATTCCTTTTCTTGTACGATACCAGCATATCTACCCTGGGGAAGGATGAACAGCACAGGCAAAGGCTTTTTGATACGTGAAGGATCTTTTTGTTATGTGTTTTGGAGATTTGGGATTTTCACCCTCTTCCCCCCATCCCACCCCCCAAAAAAGGTATGAATAGGTTTTTGTTGTTGTGTGCTTTTGTTTTTGTTTTTACCTTGGGTACAGGTTGTAGTAAATTTTCTTTTGTTTCAGGGAATTCAACAACCCCTTCTAGTGTATGTAGTTGCCTGGTATTCATACAGAGGCTATGGGAAATCATCTCTCTTAGCACAGCCTCTCATTCCAGGAGCAAATGAACCTTCTTGGCTGGAGAGGAGGGAGAGTGAAATGGGGAGCTGAGGTCTGGAGAAATGGACTTAGGACCCCTCTAAGAACTGAAGAATTATACTCCCAGAGGGAAATCAGGAGAATTGTGAATGGTATTTTGATATTGTTACCTTTTACATTTTATCTAAAGTAGGGGAACCTGGAACACTTTTGACCAGTCTTTGTGCTTGGTTTCCTGGTTTCTTGGTTTCTTATAAACATTTGCAGTTGAAATAATTGCAATGAAATCTGATCTAGGAAAAGAGGCTTCTCTAATTTGGGCAGCTCTGAAAATGGCCACTAAAGGTTCTGATCAGGGAATTGGGATCAAAACAATATTTTAAGGCTAATATCTCCCAGTTAAGAAAAAGCCAAAAGTATTAACATTTCTATTAAAGCAACATGATATTTTTAATGTATCTGTGTCAATAAGTCATCTTTCATGTGTAATACAACTCAAATGCATTTAAAAGACTTCTTTCAGGCATTTATTGAGGTAATTTAAAGTGCCTGACTCCTGGGTAGAACTTCTCTCATTTCGTTAACTACATTTGTCTTCCTAATGGAGTCTGGAGTACACTTAAGTATATAACTCTTTGATTCCACAATTCTATTTACCTACTGGTATTTTTAGCACCTTACTCTCTACCTGTATAGAACTAACCACGTCATTTCCCTTGAAGAGCAGACTCTTGTTTTACCCATGTCCGTATATAAAGGCATCCAAATACCTCAGAGAGATCTTTGTTCTCCATTCTCTGGCTGCTACAGCCAACAAGTCCTTCTTACTTCTATGATGTCTTTCACATTTATCCCCATCTCTCCATTCACTGCCCTAACTCAGTCCTCAGTGGCTGTCAAATGTGCTGCCCCCCACCGCCCCTAGTAACTGATTATGTGTAGCACTGATAGATCCCCTAAAGGTACAGCCCTGAAAACATCACTCCCCTTCCAAAACTCTTCACTGGTCCCATGTTACTTACCAAGTCTGTAAGATAAAGGGATTGCTAGATCTGTATATCTGGTTGGGGTGGTTGAACAGTGAAATTGTTTCTAAAAATGAAGTCTTTTATAAAATAGACCCTTAAAAAAAACTAGAGGCCTCCTAATGAAGCCAGGAGGAGCAACATGAACTCTTCTCAATGATACTTCCATTTGGAAGCTTCCATTCTTCCACGAACCCTTCAGGGAAAACCTGACTCATGTCTACAGAAAACCTCTGGAAACCACTGAGTTGGATGACTCCTAGATTTCCTTCTGGTTTTCCTAGTCTATGATTTTTTATTATTATTATTATACTTTAAGTTTTAGGGTACATGTGCACAATGTGCAGGTTAGTTACATATGTATACATGTGCCATGCTGGTGCGCTGCACCCACTAACTCGTCATCTAGCATTAGGTATATCTCCCAATGCTATCCCTCCCACCTCCCCCCACCCCACAACAGTCCCCAGAGTGTGATGTTCCCCTTCCTGTGTCCATGTGTTCTCATTGTTCAATTCCCACCTATGAGTGAGAATATGCGGTGTTTGGTTTTCTGTTCTTGCGATAGTTTACTGAGAATGATGATTTTATAAATGCATATAATTTCTACTTCAATGTGTAAAATGGTAATAATTCCTATACTTTCAAGACTCAGATACAATGTTTCTAATGCTGAACCTTTGAATGTATTGTAATCTCCTTTCTCTTCTTCTCTAACTCCCCAGAATGGCTAGAATTTATTAATCTCAGGTGGTATTCACCTTCTATCCTAAATATAACTGAAAGTTCTTTGGAGGTGAGGACTTTGCTATAATTCATTTGGTAAAATTAAAAAGACCTTCAACCTAAGTGTGTATATGTTTTTCATAAAACTGAACGGGATAGAATATAACCTCTGGGCACATTCTAGAAGGTGTAAGCAAGGAGGGCCTGCCCTGCTTCTTCAAAGTTGGAATTATTTTTTTACACTAAGAGATTATAAGGTGACTGCAGTAGAAGCATATGTACCTCTAAATAAAAATGAAATATTCTTTGGCCAAAATCTTGATGGTGCAAAGCTAGAGGGAGGCATTCACAAGACCATCTTCACTTCTAATACAAATAGCGAGTTTAGGGGCCCCCAAAGCCACACTGGTGTTCAATAATTTGCTAGAAGGATTCATAGAACTTACTGAAAGCTGTTAACACTTAGAGTTATGGTTTCTTACACTGAAAATACAGATATGTCAGTCAAGGGAAAAGACACATGAGGCAAAGTCCAGGAAACTTTCAAGCACAAAGCTCCCAAATGTCATCTGCCAATGGAATCATGGACAGCACTACATTTCCCAAAATTTATATGTGACAATATATGTGGAGTGTTACCAATCACAGCAGCTTACCTGTGCTGGTGTCCAGAGATTTTACTGGAGCTTCATCACATAGGAATGATTGCATATCCACCTGCCAGATCTGTTTCTAGTCCCTATGAGAAAAAAAGTCACGTTGATACCACATGATCCAAAGCCCTCACCCTAAATCACATTGTTAGATTACCTAGTGTGGCTCAAGGCTCTTGAGCAAATAAAAACATTTCAAGGATTTAGAGATTACTTCCGAAAAGCCATTGGAAAAAGGCCAGGGGTGTCCAAGGGAGAGAATACAGTCATGGGTTCTTAGCTTCTGTTTCTGATTGGGCCAGTGAAGCCCCTTCCTCATCCCTCTTTTCTGCTTATCACTAGAGACAGAAACTAAAAACCATGGCTTTAGGCTGCCAAAAGCCTAAAACAAAACAAAACAGAACAACAAGAAAAATAAGGTGGGTTGGACAAGCTCGGTAAACCTCCCTCGGATAAGGTTACATTCTTTACTATACAAATGGCAATTGAATATATGAAAAATACAACGGCAAAAGTTAAATATATATATATATATATATATATATATTTAACTATATATATGTGTATATATATACACACACATATATATGTATATATATATACACACACACACACACACACACACACATATATATATATATATATACACACATATATATATATAATTGTTAAAAAGAAGAGAGGAACCACTGGTAAAACCTTCTGTGGCTATTCAAAGGAGGTCATTCATGAATGGTTGTCCAATAATCCTTGGGAATTTTGTGGAACAAAGTGGAACACAGGCAGCAGGGTATGGGGGAAATGCCAAACAGAAGTTTCCTGCATTCCCAGGCAATTCTAAACTCAGTCTTTGCCATGAGTCCACGAGCATAATGCCTCACCCCCACCACATCTAGAAAACAGGTGGATCTCCCAACGCTGACCCTCTAGACACTCAGATCTTTTGTATCCCCCTAATATGTTACTCTTAACCTGCCACCAGCTTCCTTAGAGCCCTAACCTACCCTGAATCTACTAGCAATCTGGAGAAGCTGGCACGGTTGGAAACTTCTTCCTTCTCCTCAAGCACTTCCCCATCCTTACCCTCTAGTCTATAATGTAAGTAGGTGAAGGTTAGACCATGATGTCCAGTCCTTTGAGTGTCAAGGGTAGCAATCAGCAGTTAATGGGATAAAAGCTCATCCACGGTGGACATAGGGACCTTTACACTATGCAGCAATAATGAACACATGCTACAGGTGCTAACAAGATGTACAGGCAAGATCATCGAACATAAACCCTTATCTAACATGTAAGAACTTCCCCAAATAAATGCATCTCAGCCTTTGGTGCAACCTTTAGTGATAGGAAACACATTACTTCATGGGAAGAGTTTAAGTTATACCCTCACAAGTGCTAATATGGATACAGTTACAACAATACCTAACACTCCTATAGTGCTGCCCACATATCAAGAAATGTGCTAAGACTTTATATAGCAACTCGTGTAATTCTCCCAACACAGCCCATGAAATAGGTATCATCATCTTTCACGAATGCCAAAACTGCAAAGAGAGACCACATCCATGCCACAGAGGACAAGTCAAAGAGGAGGTGGAAATTAATCCAAGCATCTTGGCTTCAGATCCTGCCATTTTAGCTACTGCTTCACACTGTCTCTAAGAGGCGAGAGGCTCAGCCCAGAGTTGTTTCCTCTCATTGGGTCACCTGCTGGTGCCCTGGCAGCCGCGGAGATGTGTTCCTGACTTACCCACTCACTGGCACCCAGGCCTGAAGGTCTCCACTGATTTACTTAGGGCTCATGGCTCTTCAAAGCATGAGGGTGACTTTCTATCATCACTGCTCAGTCAGGGACCAAATGTGCTGGCATCACAAGAATTAGTATTCTTGACCAGCACAACTTGCACACAGACATTTTACTTAAGGCACACCCCAAACTAGACTTTGGGCCTTGACTATATGATATGCTTGTCACTAGTGCTCTCTGTCCATAACCAAAGTTCTGCTACTGAAACCGGGACACAGTCTAGACTTCCCCTTGCCTTCAGTTTCTCTCAAAGACCACTGTTTCCAGCATGTTGCTGCCCCAAATGTTTAATTTTGAAGTTCCAGATGAGCTATCAACTCCAATATCTTTTCTCCCAGAAGCCCTTGAGACACTTAGGAAAATTTGTTGACTTCAGGTAGAAAGCAGGAGAAAGGTACTTACATAATCCCTTTGCTCGTCTGGCAACAACGTCCAAATTCTAAATGCAAATGGAACTGGCAATATGAAACTGCTCACCTGCAGCACCTGAGCCCCTGACTGCCCCACTATGTGTTCACTGGAAGGCCACCTTATACCCCACACTGTGATGTAGTTCACTGGCAACTAAAGTTGCATTATAAATGTTTCTGCCCTCAAGGATTTCTCTCACTAAAAGTACATATGAAATCAATCCGCAATGATTTTCTTAGCACTGTGTGATGGGTGCTCTAAAACTCATGGACTAAAGCCGGAGAGCATACGATTTTACTAGATAACACATCGTGTAGTATGACCTTATAGCCTGAACTACTTTGGGGGGTGGGACTCAATCCCCTGCCCCCACTACACATTTCCGCCTGTAGTGACCTCCCTCAGAGGAATGCTTCTGGCCTCTCAGTGCCCCCTTCATGCCATGACTACACTGATTGTTGAGCAGGAATGGACAGAGCTCAGTCAGACCTCTGCCATCTTTTTGAAATCTGCCTTCTTTGGGCGGCTTTGGTCTACTCTGGCCTGAAGTATGCTTAGCATTAAAGGCTCAGCCTCTGGAAGCCAGGTCTGCAGTCTTCCAACTCCTCCTCAGGCCAAGTAGGTTTCCTTCTGGAACACAATATAAGCAAACCTCTATCATTTGAATAAAGCACATTCTCCAAAGAGATTAACCTGGATTAAAGCCTGAAATCTGTATCTCTTTAGAAGAGACTCCTGTTCTCTTCTACAGCGGTTCTGAATGCAAATAGGGAAAAATAGGGTTGTTACTTTAAAAGCTGCCTCAAACCCTAATGCTACTCCACTGCCATAAAAGTCTTAGCAGATACAGGGACGGAAGGTTTTCTTAGAGGGCTGAGTAGCATTGGATAAGCAGCTCTCCAGTCTTCCATTATTACTTCTCCATGGTGGTGTTTGCTGCTGGTGCTTTGTTCTATTATTTCGCCACTCGGAATTGCCTCCAGTTCCACTCAAACGACCATAACTCCCTCAATTACTGGTCTTCAACACTGGTTGTCTCTCCAAGGCAGCCACTTTAAGGGAATCTCTTCCTAAATAGCTCTTCATTTTGATTGGAACAGGAAAATAAACACCAACAGATTCTCACAGCTTTATCTGGCACCACCACCAAAAGAGTGATCCAGGATTAATTTTTGTGGGTTCCCAAAGATACTTTTCTTCCGCTTTCTATCTCAAGTCCTGCTTTGACCAAGCAGCTCACTCAGGGGTGAGCCAACAACACATCCCCTCCTCATCCCTCTATCACTGATGAGACATTAAAAATTCAACTTCCTCTTCTTTAGTGAACAATTATCTCACTCATTGGCTTGATTCACTGATCTCTTAATGACAGCTTTCCTGCGGTTTCCTTTGAATGTTTAAAATATGAAACAACCCCATCTTGTCAAGCTGAAAACTGTGGCTGAGTTTTTAGTAGCTGTTTCCAATAAATAATTTCAAGGGATTTCAAATTATCCATCACCTGACAGCTCTTGGGAGATTTTCTCATCTCCTTCAGGCATAAAAAGCCATTTCTAACCTCCACACCATCCCTCTGATTACCCTCAACGATTTTCAAAATTGGTTCCATTCTTCTGAAAGAACCTCTCTCCCCATCAATATTGACAGGTGCTTTGAATGAACACATGCCCAGAAGAAAGGGCTCCCTAAGACTGTCCTTCCCCTGCCGGGTTGCACTAGTAAATGGATGATAAAGATTAGAATGGATTACCAGTTGTGTTTATGTAATATCTTTTGAAAAGATATACATGTTAGGAAGAGAAGCTATCGGACGGAGGAATCTAAAGCAATTTCTAGTGGGAGAAGGTGAAAATATCTTCATGAAAAGATTCAATTTAGAAAAAGTCATGCACAGGGGTTTATGCTATCTACCTGTCACCAGAGCTTCTTCCTCCTTTCTTCCCCATGAAAGGATGAAAAGGAAAACTCAGAGAGGGATGTTAGAAAGAGGTGCAGTCTTTAGTTTATTCATAGCTGGTGGAAAAAGACTGAAATAGCCAATAGACTCTGCAATGAAGGGGTTCTTCATGATCTCTGGAAATGAGAACTTCAGAAGTTACAGAACTAGAAAATTCAGTCTTTGGACATCTTCATGCTCAGAGGAACTGAAGGTCAAGAGCTGAAATTAGCAGGTAAGGGAAAGCAGTTGAGAAAATCTAACTCTAGGAATTAGTTCTGAATCTCAAAGAGGGATTCTGGGTATTTTTTAAAGAGTTTCATATTCTAAATTAGCAAAAATACTAATAATTCCTCTACATATATTTGTAGGAATTTGTACTGTGTCTTATTGACATTGAAAGCGTTTTTATATTGCTGTGCTTAATTTTATTTAAAAGGCTTGTTTCTGTTTTTTAATTTAAGGAAAGCCATACTATCAAACAAACCTATGAGCTAAGCTCTGGGGTGATATGTAAAAATAGAAAGTGTTTCCTGGACTTAAACAGCTCATAAGGTAATAGGGAAAATACACATATAAATAACTCTAATGAATGCAGGAGATAAACTAATGAGATTCTTCCTCTTTGCACGTCATCATCACCTTTAAAACAAAATAAAATCTGTACACACAACCACAAGTCAAAAGCAAGTCCTCTTTCAGGGTTCTCTAGCTCACCTACCTAATGACACAAACCAGAAACCTAATTGTCATCAAACCCTCAACCCCAAATCTAGTCTATCACTATGCTAGTTGATGTGACCACTTTATACTATTTTAGATCTGTTGACTTCTGTAGAGCAGCTGCCATCGTCATCAACACCATCTCTTTAACCCACATCACTGCCCAGATGACTAAATGGCTTCTAACTACCATGTCTGTGTCCTCCTGCACCCCTCCAGTCCACCCTATGGATGGGAGCCAGAGTGACCTTTCCAAAGCGTGAAACTGATTGTGTCATCCCCCTGTTTAACCCCCTCCGAATATGTTCCATTGTTCTTCAGATTAATGTCAACTTTCTCTACCTGGCTTACAGAGAGCTGCACAGTCCAGCCCCTGCTGACTCCTCCAGCCTCAGCACAGGCCAAGAAGCACCCTCCCACCCCCACCCCCGCTTCATCATGCAATTCCCTGAGGGGCCCTGCCCCTGCCACAGGGCTTTACACACTCCAGCTCTGCAGTGCCACCCATCGCTCCTCACCTTACCAGCTCTTACGCAGCCTTCGGAGGCTGAGCATGTGCTGTGTCCTCTTTAACCTTTGCCTCATGGCAGGTGCAATCTTCCACTTATTTATGTGATATGATTAACAGTCATCTCTCTGATCAGACTAACATAGTGCTTGACATATATGAAGTATTAAAAATATTTTTTGAATGAATAGATTCATAAAAATTAAACTGGGATTGCAAAATGGAATTCATAAACAAAAGTGGTCCAAGAGCAACTTACGAAAGCAACCTTTTGCGTTGAGTCTTAAAAGATAAGTAGCAATTTACTAGGAACAGAAATAATTAAAAGAATAGTTGGGGCAGAAGCCATGACCTGAGAAATGTTTGGAAAATGTGTGAAGTATAATTGATGCTTAAACAGGTTTGAACTGTCTGGGTCCACTTATATGTGCATTTTTTTTCAATGAAGTTTACACCAAGTGTGCCTGCCTCTCTATCTACCTCCTCTGCCCCCTCTGGGACAGCAAGACCAACTTCTCCTTCTCCTCAGCCTACTCAGCGCGACGACAACAAGGATGAAGGACTTTATAGTGATCCACTTCCTCTTAATGAATAAATTTTCTCTTCCTTACGAATTTCTTAAACTTTCTTTTCTCTACCTCACTTTATTGTAAGGATACAGTGTATAATGCATACAACATGCAAAGTATGTGTTAATCAACTGGTTAAGCTATCAGTAAGGCTTCTGGTCAACAGCTGACTATTAGTAGTTAAGTTTTGGGGGAGTCAAAAGTTATACATGGGTTTTCAACTGTGCAAGGGGTTGATATCCCTAATCTCCACATTGTTCAAAGGTCAACTGTATTCCAGATCTGTACATCCCCTGCCATAGCTGGCATAAAAAGTGAATATAGTGGCTGCAGATGAGGGTACAGAATTAGGTTTGAGCAAAGTAGTGAAAGGCAGTGAGAAGCACAGGGAACATCTGGACTTGATCCTGTGCGTGATGGGGGCTTGCTGAGTATTAATCACAGACTGGAATGATCCAAAACAGAGTAGGGAGAAAGGATTAGATGGAGAAGATGCTGCAGGCAAGAGATCCATTAGGAGGCTAACAAACAGTAGATAAAGGAGTAGGGAGAAGGGGTCCAATTCAAGAGCATTTTAGAAGGTCAAGTGGACAGGACACAGTGATTGAGTGGCTATCAGGGGTTGAAGGAGAGGAAAGGAGCATAACTTTTTTTCCAAGCAACTGGATAGATGATGTTTTCATGAACTTAAACAGAGACCTTAAAAAGAAGAATTTTAGGCATAGCACAGAAGAGAACAAATAATTTCATATTTAAGTCTATTGCATATCCCAGTGGAGACATCCAACAGGCCCTCGGATACCTACCTATGGTCCTTAGGAGAGGAGTCGTGGCTATAGTGTGAGGAGTTGCGTCAAGTACATCTCAACTTACATCCAGGCTATGGTTGACAAATGGCTCTAATGGATGTAGACACTCCAACAGATATGGAGTTAAGGCCCTGATTCTGCATTAAGTCTGATTTTGAAACCACATGCAAGTTTACTGGGAAACAAACTTGTGAACAGTTACCAATATCAGCTGTGCATGTCAAGGTAATATGTTTTTGCTATTTATTACTGGATTCAGATCAGGCTTGGACCACATTGCCTGGAAGTAGTAATACTGCGGTAGCTAAGAGGACAGGGCTCTACTAAATGACCCAGTTCAATTCATACTCAACATCTTTGAACTTTAGAAAAGCATTGAATTTCTCTCTGCCCCAGTTTCCTCATTTTTAAGATATGGACAACAGTATTACCCACCTCAAGGCATTGAGTGAAGTATAGTATGTTACAATACTTACCACTATAACTGGTATATTGTAAATGCTCTTTAAATAATAGCTCTTTTTGTCACTTACACACTTATCATTACAGTTAAATTCAACAAGTATATACATATTGAGATGCTCCTACCTGCCACCAACACTGACGGAGGCAATGGAATGGTGGTACAAAAATAAATGTATACAAATGCCCTCAAGGAGCTCACTTACTTTCTAGTGAAGGCAGCTGCTTTTTAGTGGAAACTAAAGGGTAAAACAGGACAAATATTGAAGGGCAAGGAAAATGACAACAAATGCTCACATGCCAGACTAGCTACAGTCAGTACTTCTGTGATGCTTGGAACATGATTCCACTTTTTCCAATCTGCATATAACTTGTGGGGCAAATATTATCTGTTGGGTGCTATTACCTATGTGGGGAAAACACTAGTGTTCAGTGTGTACTCACTGTCCCCAGTCCAGGTGTGTCTTTCTACAATTTAGCAGGTAAATAACATTTCCTATTTTATGTTATACTTGGTCACATAAATAAGGATATGAAAGTTCAGGGGGTTAAGTCACTTTATCCAAGGACATGAAGCCAAAGCCACAAGAGATTTGAATGAAGATTGTGTACCTTTGAGCTTGCAGGACAGTATTCACCACCCCCAGATAACTTTCTTTGCACAGAGGTCGTGGAGACCTTAAAGGGACCATTACCTAAGGATGATCTAAGCAGGGATGGAGAGATGGAATTCCGGCATGTTTTCTGAAATATTTATAAGCTTTGAAATGAATAGTTTTACTAACATGGATAAGTGGATGATGTCAATGTCTTTAAGTAGCTATTATCTGTGAGAATCTATGGAACCCACTTAATTGCAGAATTTGGGAATTGAAAGGACCTTAGAGATCATCTGGTTTTACCTCCCACACCATATAGAAGCTTCTTTTTGCAGAAATTTTCAAAGAACTTAGAAGGATACACATACAGGTTTCTCCAAAAATTGTACAATCTCACAAGGGAAAGCCATCCTAGAAGTCATCCAATCCAAGGCCTCCAGTTGACAGGTAAGGAATCTAAGGTCCAAAATGTCCAAGTGACACATTTAGAACCACCCACCACTTGTCTCCAGGAATAGGCCCAGAAAGCAAACCACCTAGAGTCACACTGCCCTGTCTCAATTTAAGATCTTAAAACATACAGTAAAGAAAAAAATTACAGATGACTCTATTATCCATTTTTCACAACAGATAATTTAGAAAATGCTGTTTGGGACCAGGAAGTTACAGGAAGAAAAACAGGGAAGTCCAGCTTAAAATTGCATATAAACACTTTGATAACTAGATATCTTGGTCCTAAGAAAACATTCCTGGCTTTTGACAGGTTCAGAGATGTGCAAATGACAGGAAAAGTCACACTGAAAGATTTGTATTACGAGTACTATCATATTGCAGGTAAATTGTGCAATAGGTTTCCTAGATAGGCTGCATAAGCGCCAAATAGGAACATTTTTATCCCTTATTTAACTGACATTGGGGTGGGATACAGCTAAACATTAGGAATGAAATGTGTTGTGTAAGAATGTGCCAGTGCTGGGATTTTTTCTCACTTCCTCAAAAGTAGGGCATTCTTCTCTCCAGTCTACAGTCTTAAAAGTTGAAGCTAAGTTACTCCAGCTTACTGGTTATCCCAAATAAGTGGCAGAGCCTGATTTTTTTAAATAGAGATGGAATTTTGCTATGTAGCCCAAACTGGACTTGAACTCCTGGGCTCAAGCAATCCTCCTACCTCAGCCTCCTGAGTAGCTGGGACTGCAGGCACATGCCACTGCACCCGGTTTAGAGCCTAGATTTTTAAAGAGATTAATGGTTAGTCTATAATTTAGTAGTCTGGAGTCCAAGCCTTCTTGCAAAGTCTTCTGAAGCAGGCTACATTTTGAATAAAATAAATAAGGGTTTTATTCAAATTTATTCCTGGATTTAAAAGTATACAACCCATCTCCTCTTTATCCAGGGGGATTTTAGTACTCACTGAAAATAGAGTTCTACCCGGAAGTAGGCTTACTTCTTCCCCACTACAACATGAATTTGGTCAATGCTCTTTCCAGCATTGTCTGGACAGACATTTCTCCAGAACCCTTAACCAACAGGGGGTTGTATTGTGTTCAGTTAGCCAGTGCCAAGGGATATACCAATTGAAGTTTTCTAATTTACAATTTCCATCAAAGTTTAGTGACTCCCTGTTGACCACATACAGGATAAAGTCCAAATTGCCTTGTGATATGTGTAGGCTAGCATACAAAACCTCCCACGCCCTGGCTGGAATTTCCTATTTAATGTTTTGCCCAGCCATTGCATTTCCCAAGCCTTCTACTCAACTTAATTGGTCTTTTCCATCTTCCAAACATATTTTACACTACTCTACCTCCACATTTTTGTTGAAGTTGTTTCTCCATTCTCAAATCCCTCACTTTCATCATTAATCCAGATTCTACCATCCTCCAAGACTCAGTTGTGATTCTTACTACTTTTGTTTGTCGACTAAATAATTGCTTTTA
The DNA here is from genome assembly GCF_000001405.40 of Homo sapiens. Taxonomy (NCBI): domain Eukaryota; kingdom Metazoa; phylum Chordata; class Mammalia; order Primates; family Hominidae; genus Homo; species Homo sapiens. The sequence goes on from NW_003315959.1 coordinate 49,257, forward strand.
TGTCAAGCCCTGTACTATGTGCTAGGTATTCCTAGGTATAAAGTGGTGAAAGAGAAAAAGTAAAAGCTCTAATCTTACCTTCTAGTTGAGGGTAGGGGAAGGAGAAAGAGAACAAACAGGCAAACCAATTAATATGCAATAATCAACAATAACAATTGCTATAGAGGGAACCACCTAAGATAGAAAATGGATGTCAGTGGAATGATTGCCTTTGACAGCGGTGATTAGAGACCTATCTGGAGAGGAAACCATTGGAACTAAGACTTAAGGATGAGAAGGAACCAGATGTCCCAGGGGCATTCCAGGCCAGAATAACAAGGTAGAAAGCTTTGGATGGTGAAGGATAAAAGTGGCAGGGAGTAAGGGTGGTGATGCCACAAGATTTCTAGTAAAAAAAAAAAAAAAAAAAAAAAAAAAATCTGCTTTTCCCTCTGACCTCATCTGCCACTTGTTTTAATCTTATCTTCTTACATACCCTGGCTGCTTTGTATCCATCCCAGTATTTTGCCAGTAAATAAAAGCTCATGGAAGCTATTCAACGAATAATTGCTGAATTCTTTCTTCCTCACAAGTAGGACATTCTTCTGTCCAGGAACTCTGGTTTCTTAAGGGCAGGGCTTTCCATGCTCCAATGTCTCAGGACAGAGATGAGCATGAAAAATTTATGAATTGATTTCCCCCATCTACTCTAGGAAACCAGATCTATTTGTAATCACTTTTACCCTAATGGTCAGAGGCTGTCTTCCAAATCTTACTCCTTTCTAGACGGTCACATCACCCTGTGAAGTGTCCCCTGACAACCACACCTAGGCTGATTCTCCCTGCTCTACACATCTGGCCTCCAACCTGAAAGTGAACCCATATCAGTACAAATGTTTAAGTCATGTACACATATAACTGCTTTAATACATTTACTTAGAAAACACTAAAAAATAAGTTGAAAGGGTAGGTTCTTGTGAAATACACAATTTCTATTATAAAGAGTCAAACCATTTTACTGGAGAGAGAAAGCAATATGTTTGAATGTTCCACTATGTTTTTAAGATCTCAGTTAAATACTCTGTAATACAGTGACTTAAAAGTCGGGGTCTAAATTCAGTTTATTCCAATACCTGTTTCAATAGCTCTATAGCTGAAAATGATACCTCAAAATTACATAAGCACAAACAGGGGAAATGCATCATTGGCTGTATTTAGCAATCATAATATCCACTGCCCCCCACACCACCAATGCTGTCTACCAACTATTCGGTTAATAGAGTTCTATTCCTTCTGATGTCAATCAATTGCTCTTACAACTGGCTGATGAGAAGCTCTAATGCACAACTGTTGGAAAATTCTACATTTTTGTTTATTTGGATCCATGTGTTCAAGAAACCTGAGAACATGCTACTAGAATTTTTTTTACATTTAATATATGATGTTTAATTATGGCATAATTTATGGGGGGAAAATCACAAAACAATAACAACATTTTGAAACAGCCATTTTCAACTCTCTAATCCATGGTAGGTGGTGTTGGTACCTTTGCTTTTTTTGCTTTGTGTGCTTTGGGTTTTATTTCATTGGTTACTACTTTCTTACTGTTTAAAGAAAAGATTACCTTACTTGAGAGAAGGGTTTTAAATTTATATTTATATACTTGGTAGCACACTATTCAATACCACTGAAGCAACCACTTGTCACCACAGAAAATGTCAGCCAATCTAGAGCACATGTCTTTCTAAATATATAAATACATGCATAGTATTTATAAGTGGGGTAAGTCTAAGTATTTTGCCATAAGGTAACCCATGAATCACTGTGTGGTACAAAACATCTTTGTGATAACCACACAGCTCATTACGTAATATTATAAACACCTGTATTTTAAAGGACTTGATATCTAAAATTAAATATTGATGACATGCTACAATTTCATGCACCTCAAGCTTCAACTTGTTGACTGAAATATTTTACCTATAAATTCGGTAGTTAATAACTTTCATATGTGGAGTCTTTAGTAAACCTAACCTAGAACTTAAAATCCTATGTTTACTCCAATCAAAGCAGCTGTTCCATAAGTGATTACACTTGACTTTTTGGTAAAATTCTGTTTAACTTCTTAAGTCACTTGCTGTTGAGAATGTATTCTCCAGTATATCTTTCCTATTTGAAATCGCAAATTAGTCTTTGATCTATTTCAATATTTAAATTCAATCTAGCCATTATCATAAACACTGAAATTTGTTTTTTAAAAAAAGCACTTTCTTTTAACTATATACTAAGGCTCCCCTACTTTAAATTTCAGTATTTGTCTCTTCAAATCATCAGCAATGTTCTCTAATGTATTACCCAAGTATTCAGCGATAAAAGAATGACTTTAGTTCATGATTATCTTCTTTGGATTAAAATCAGCCATTCTTAACCATAGCAAGAAGAATGAATATTTTCCCATTAGCAGTTAGCATTTTACCCTCTGCTACTTGCTTAGTAGATTATCTTCTCCCAAATTATTTATTTAATCACAAAGAGGAAAACAGCAATTCTATAGTGAAGAAACTGGACAGATACTGCCTTAGCCAAGAGATCACATTTAATGGCATTAGTAATAGGACAAACCAACTTCAAGTGCCTCTCAACATGGTGCACTGAGACCTATATAATGATCATGTCTGTTGTATTCCCTGCCCAAAATACATACCTGAATTCAACCATGAGCAAACAGACAAACCCAAATTGAGGGTTATTTCACAAAATAATTGACCCATATATATCAAAAGTACCAAGGTCAAGAAAAAAGTAAGAAAGGCTAATAAACTGTTTCAGACTAAAGGAAACTAAAGAGACACAAAACTAAACATACTGTGTTATCTTGGACTGGATCCTGTACTGGATCCTGGAATGATGATAGGGTCAATATTCGATTCTCCTGATTTTGATCATGGTAATGTGGTCATTTAGGAGAATGTCCTTGTTCTTCCATAATACTTAATGAGATATTTAGAGATAATATATATGATATTTTAAAAGCAACTTTACAAATAACGTGAGTGCTTTGAATAGGCTTATCAGACTATTGATGGGTAGGAAACCATGGTTAGGAGGCCAAGACAGAGGGAAACTGAGAAACTTACAGAATGGCTATATCCCATAGGCAATTGGAATTTATTAACCAAAGATGGATGCAAAGGTCAAAACTGAAGGTTGTAGAATGACAGGTTATTATCTGGAAACAACCTTGAAAATATTTATCTGGTCCAGGACCCTTATTTGAGGAAAGTGAGACTCAATTAAGGAGATAAGATTTATACATGTAACCGTATGTATCACGTACTATTACTGTAAATAACATAAGATAATACAACATAAAATAAGCAGTAGTCAGTTCATCTCAACACTTGTTGAGACCTGCATACAGTGTGCTAGGAGCTAAGAATACAAAGATGGAATACAGATTATGTCCTTGAAGGACATTGGTTACTTTTAATATTTGAAAGTCCTGATTTGATTTCAAATATATTTCATTAAACACTGCAGTAATTTCTCCTTAATACTAAATATAATTTCAAAATCTAGCAGTTAGAAAAGATAGATTACTCTCTAGACAAGTACCTGTTTATTATCCTTAATATTCAGATACACTGTCTAAGCAAATCTATTCTCTCCAAACAAGTACTGGGTATTTATTTATGGTAGTAGTAATGGTCTTCAAAATGGATGATGAGGCAACCAATGAATCTCCTTCTAAAGTAAAACATTACAGTTTTAGGACTACAGTCAAAGGAAAAAATTCATATATGGAAATGAGCATAGAGTCTTCATCCTTCTCATACAACCTCTAGAATTTTTTCCTTATTTTCCCAGTATGCAGGTTTTTAAACTAGAAAAGCTAAAACATGAGAATTATATCAAAAATCACATTTGGCCAGGGAAATAGAGTAATCCCTTTATTTCAGAAGTCTTTGCTGTTACAGAACATTTTTTAAAGCTTATTGCCCCTGGAGCTGCTTGAAATGAAACAAAATAAACAAATGCTAGTCATCCTGTCCAAAGGGAAAGGACAGTGTCCTGCCCTGAGGAATTCTACAACTGAACATGACAAGCCAAAAATCTATTCCTACATTTGCATTTCTTTCCTGAATGATTTGAGTAAGCATTGCTCCCAGAACTACAGCCCAGGGAAGCAGCAGATAGTCCTGACTAGAAAAGAGCACACATGAGGAAACATGTCACTCTGGTTAAAGACTGGCATCAAGTGGACTTTATGCCACAGGTTAAAATTTGAGATACAAGGAAAACATATATTCTAAGGCTGAGAAATCCATCTGAAAGAAAGAAGTAAAAAAAGAGAAAGGTCTGTAGAATGACTCCTCCAAGTTAATAAGGGAGGGTGTCCACCTGAGCTGCGAAGGAATGAGAGATGAAACACCCAATTTCAGGCCCAAATTTCAGGCAGGCTTGTGTTAGGAGGCAGCAGCAACAGCAGCAGCAGCAGCAGCAGCAGCAACAGCAGCAACAGCAGCAGCAGCAGCAGCAGGTGCTGGCAACTGGTTTCTAGAGTTGAACGTCAGGCCAGGGAATTCTATCTCTGAGGAATGGACATTCAAAGCAGGAAACCCTTTGCTGGGAATAAGGTATGACCTGGTTACTAAAGAACTAGGAAAAGGGAAAGACTGCCACAAAAGGCATATAGGCTGGGGCCTTGTCCCCATAGAACTGCCAGGTCACCAGCACAGCAGGGTGAGGGCCAAGGCTGGGCCCAACAAGTTCCTGGATCCTTAAACTTCAGCCATCTGCAGGCAGGACTCAGGTGGAACTGAGCCTACAGGGTTGAGGTGATCTCCACTAGGAGTGTTCAAGGACTACAGGGGCAGGGAGAAGAGGCCACCATTGCACCCCAGATAGGGCTTTCAGTTCCTCAATGGCCCAAACTACAGAGTAGTAATGGCCTTTCATTTTCTCTCTCTCACTTCTCTTTCTAGTCTGGGCTTTGCTCTTAATGTACCCTCATCACTTGATATCAAGTATAAATTTCATGTAGGTCTTACCCAGTACACCATAAGCTTTGTGAGAGCCAAGTCATTGTCTTCTGCATCACGTGTTGAATCAAACATCAATTCGACAAACAAACAAATGAATCTCCACCTGGTGGATGCACAGGAAGACTGTCTTAACTAGTTCCCCTAGTTGAGACTACCTGGTTCAGGAAGAAGACCTTGTCTGCTGCTGTTTCTCTGAACAAGTGTCTGGTTTCTTTGCCTGGATTCCAGGCCCTGCTTCCTCAGTTATCTGTGTTGCCCTGTAACCTTTGAACCCCAGCTGACCAATCAAAGACCTTTGAAGCTCTAGGCTGTGTTCCTATGGATTATTCTAATTCTTCATTTGCCCACAATGTGCCCTTGCCAGACAGATGTACACCTACTGATTTGATCTGGTCTAGATATACCCCTCACTGTCCTTCCAGATGCCTCACATTGTTCAAGGGCAGCTGCAGCTCAGCCACTGGTTTGGGGCTATATTTTAGGCCCAGCCATGTGTCTCTCCAGTCCTTCATCTGCCATCCTATCCTAGCAGCCACCAAGCACCTCAGCATGACAGGTTGGTAATCAACAACTGTGACCAAAGCGGCCATTAAGAACTTGCTGTTGTTAAAACGCTTTTTTCTTTTAGGTACCAAGATTAAAAGCAGGCACCAGAACACCTACAATGAATATAAAGTAATTACATTAATAGTACATACATGCATACACATTATACATATATAGTATAAATTAACCAAAAGCTTAAAATGTAGTTATTGAACATGATGTTGTATACCTGCATTTGAAATGCTTAGCCAAATGACTATTGTGATGTTGTCAAATGTTTAGCTGCCATTCAACAATTTGAGGATCAGAAATTCTATGCTGCCATACTTTAGGGGAACTTCATTCTTAAATCCTGGGTCTATTCAAGGTAAAATAGTTATACAATCCTTTGATATACACTTGCCCCTGGTAAAGGAGATGCCGCCAGTGGTTTCATGGGGAACTGGCAAGTTCAGTGGACATGAAACTTACCCAGTGCCAGGGAAAGTAGATTATAAGGGACAGCTTGCAAACATTATTTTCACAATGCTGTAGAAAGGTTGTGTTGGCAGGAAATCGAATCATTAGAGGTCAATCTACATAATGCACATCTATAACAGAAACCTGCCAATTGCATGCTCACCCTTGATCATTCTTACTCATCTCAAAGAGAAAGCATCCCCTGAAACTGAGGTCACCCCAACATAAACAAGAGTAACGACATCATTCATACCCAGACATAGAGAGCAATGTCAGATCTCTCACAAGTGGACACAATTACAGAAGCAGAGATGTCCATGCAAATTGCACCACCATGCACTTCTGGTGTCAATAATGTACATGTCTTTAAAATCAAATTAAATCCTACTCAGCAACCAGCCTGCCTGATATTATCTAGGAGTCCCCAATGTTAACTCACTTCCTCAAAAGAGGCCTCTAAGCCTGCAATTGCAGTGGCAACTATTGCTATTGCAGCCCCAAGATGCACCACTGGCCTCCTGTTTTACCATCTGTCCAGTTCTGTTGTTGGATTTAGAGCAGAATCTCATTTGCCCAGCTTGCTGCCAAAGCCTCTGTCGTCTACTTGGTGCTGAGCAGCTTTGCAAATGGCTCCACTTCATAGAGAGTCCCTTGCTCAGACTCCCAAGGCAACTGTCTTTAAGGTGTGGCTCTTCCAGGAACCCATGTTAGTTGCCAGCACCACTTCCAAGGCACAGCCTTCCAGGGAGAAGAAACCCATCCTTCCTGCTTAAATCTCTCAACCCCACCCTACAATCTCATAGCCCAAAACACATGGTAAATAGACTGCTCTTTTCTTCAACCTGAAGCACAATGCCTCCATTTTCTTCTTCTTGCCTATCAAATTTAATTGTCCTAAAATATGTTGCTTTTATTTTTTTTATTTATTTATTTATTTATTTTTGCCTCACCTTACTTAACCTCTCAGCAGCTTTTAACAAAAGTTGATCACTGTTTTTTCTTTTGGCATTGATCATGTGACACTCTCCTGGTTTTCTCTTTTTCTACCTTGCAACAGCCTCATCTCAGTCTCCATTGCCAGGTCTTCTAATGTTGTACTTTTTGACTTATGCTTTAACAAACCCTTAAAATAATGTGCTGTTAACACTCACTAAATAATGCTTGCTCTGAGTGCCTTACATATACCATCTCATTAATGCCCCCCACCCCCCTGCAATCTCAATTCTCACATTTCATCCGTATTTTCCCTTTCTTGGTTATCTCACTCGACCTCACGGCCATAAGTACCATCTACTCACTGACATCTCCCAAATTATGTCTCTGGCCCCAGTGTTTCCCTGGAACTCCAGATTTGTTCCACAATCTCCCTATACTCAACATTGTCACTTGCACATCTGTTAGAAATCCTCAACTTAGCACACCCCACATTAAATTCTCCTCCTGCCCCAGATACACATCTCTACCCCACCCTGGTCTCCTTCTATGAGAAAGATGGCAACTGCATCTATTCCAAGATGCTCAGGCCAAAAATCGGTAGCCATATTTGACTCTTCTCGCTCTCTTAACCTACACCTAATTTATTACTGTATTCTTTTGGATCACATTTGGTCAGAAGTAGACTCTGACCATCTCTCTTCACTTCTGCCATCCTAGTCCAAGCCAGCATCATCTCTCATCTGGATAAACGGTCGAGCTTTCTACCAGGGTATCCTTCTTCCACTTCATCTTCATATTGTCGATTCTCCTCACAGCCACCAGAGAGGTCAGACTTCCCTATTGGCTTCTTATCCTATATAAAATATATCCAAAGTCCTTTCTATAGCCTAAAAGCCTGAAGTGATTTGACTCCCATTGTCTACCTGGCTTCATGCTCATTCTTCCCAACTCGGTTTGAACAACATGCTATTCTCCAAGCAGGACTTGCTCTCATTCTTCCCATGGCTCAGAATGTTCCTTCCTGAGACCTTTGCGTAGCTCACTCCCTCCATTCCCTCACTTCATTCGGGTTTCTGCTCAATTATTACTTCTGCAGAGCTTTTTAGACATTATCTAAAACAGCAACTCCCTTCACTGTCTTTCACCTACTTTTATATTATTTAATTTACCTCTTCGCTCCCTATTATCTTGACTTTTTCCTCATAATGTTTCTCTACTTATACATTTGTTGTGAATCAAATTGATTCTCCCAGCAGACAAGATATTTGTATTCATTGTTTTACCCTTAATGTCTAAAGGGAGCCTGTCACCCAGAAGTTAATTACTATTTAATAAATAAATTTTCACTAATAATTCACTTTTGACTTTAAACAGAGTTGAAATTCCATCACTAGAAAACAAAAGATTTTACCTAAAAAAATAGACTGTGTTTGTTGGCATTATTGCTATTGCTTAACCACATAAAGACAAGATAACCCTCTCAATTTCAGCTCTAATAACACACACAGAGCATACTAGAGAAACTCTTGCAGGCAGACAGCACTCTATTGAATTGAAAACTGATTCATGGAACAACATTTGAAGTAATTTTGAAGAATACAAGTGATTTCAAATTCACAACTCTCTTCCTGATAGAAGAGTTGATTGCTGTTTCTCAACATGAGGCTCCAGTTATTCTAACATCTCTACTTTTGGCTTTATGATTACAAACGAAACATATCAGATTGTGGTTTACCACTAGTTTAATTCAGCCTGCTACTATGATTCTATAGGATACCATCTTGTCAGGGAATCATCATTCATTTATTCATTTATTTAATATCTTGTGTGAGGGATGTGAGGGAGAGAAAGGAGGAATCAATAATTTAGAATATTCAAGACACCCCAGTTTGTCTAAGACATTTCTGGTTTTAGCATTGAAAAGCTTATATCTTGGTAAACCTCCCAGTCAAACCAAGGTAGCTGGTTACCCTACAAAAATTACTCTTAGGATTTGGGCCTGAGTAATGGGGTAAATGGTAGAGTTATTTACCAAGATAGAAAATACTTGGGAAGAAACAGGTAGGAAGATGAAATTAAGACTTCCCTTTTTAGATGCCTAATAGGCACCCAAGTGGTAGCTGGATAAATTAATCCAAACTTAAAGAAGAGGTTAGAAATAGAGTTGTAAATTTTGAACCCATTATCTTACAGATAGTATTGCAGAATCATGAAATTGAATAATAACCTTAGGGAGCGAGCATGATACAGTGTCTTCAGGCCTCTTTTGTGGAGTTCTGCTGTAAGAGAAGCTCTCAGAAAACTGTGGCTAAGAACACATTGAACACCTGTGACTTGACAATCTGGATGTACTGCAATAGGGCTCAGGTGCCGGGACATTTAAAGAAAAAATGTAGTAAAATCCCTTTTCCCTTAAGGAATATAATATCTGAGGCTAGCATCCCCAATTTTACTTTTGTACCCAATTATGTCACACAATTTTCTAAACAAAAATGATTTCTAGTTCAAATGTTCTCTGACTATAAAACTGCAACACAGCCTATTGTTATCTCAACCTATCACTGAGCTATCCATGAAGACAAGTTTTAAAAAGATTCACAACTCTGGAAACCAAACCTGTCAGAAAACATAAAGGCAGAATGTAAGACGAACTGACACTAAGTACTGATCAGATAGAACTAGAGTAGGAAAAACCTATACAGTGCAGCTCCAATTTCCTTTATAAAAGAGATCACTTGATTGAAAAAACAAAAAAAATGCTTCTTCAGGCTTCTGGATAAAAATGGCAGAGTGAAAATAGGCATTTACGTTTGCTCCCTTCTGCATAGAAACTGAAACTATGGGACAGATGTTATTGACACTAAAGACCAAACAGAAAATAGGCAAAAAGAATAAAGCAGCAGAAAAAAATTGTAAAACTGAGCTGTAAATAGACAAGAAGCAATTTACCTAGGCTAGAGTGCTGAATCCCAAAGAAGTTTTAAGGGTAGCACAGAAATGGCCCAATTTACACCACAGAAATTAACTAACACTGACAATCTTAAGTATCAGTGGCACCTAGTGCCTCTGAAGTAGAGGTGGAGGTAAAACTACAAAGAAGAGCATTAACTAGAAGTTTGTTTAAGAAGTTGTTAGTGCCCAATCCCCGTCCCCTATTCCATGCAACCGATGTCTTTCTTTCTCCAATACTTGCAGAAGAGGAAAGGTTTATTCTCTAAAGATAGTAAAATCAGGCAATCAGGCAATTTTCAGACTAAAGAAAGTTGGGCAGATAAGGGTAGGAGTACTATACTGAAAACAGGTGAATTACGTAAAATATTTATATCTAGACTACCGAAGCCACTTCAGACTCATATATACCACTGCCTAAATGTAAGAAATAAAATTATAAAAATCTTAGACAAAAACCTAAGTATATCTTCACAACCTTAAAATAGACAATGATTTATTAGCTATGACACCAAATGCACAAGCAATCCAAGAAAAAATATATATAAATTGAACTTAATCAAAATTAAAAATTTTGACTGGAAAGAACATTATCAAGAAAGTGAAAAGACAACCCACAGAATGGGAGAAAATATTGGCAAATTATATGCCTGATAACTGCCTATATATTAATATATTCTTTATAATATAAATATTATATTAAGAAATTTAAAATTGAATAAGAAAACAATCCAGTTAAAATGGGCAAAGGATTTGAGTAGACATTTCTTTAAAGAAGATATACCAATGGCCAATTATCACACGAAAAGATACTTAACATCATTAGCTGTTAGAGAAATACTAACCAAAACCCCAATGAGATGCCTATGTCCACTAGAATGGCTAGAATCAAAAGGAAATAATAACAAGTTTTGGTGAGACTGTAGAGAAATTGGAGCCCTCACCCATTGTTGGTGGGAATATAAAATGATGTGGCTTCTTTGGAAACCAGTTTAACATTTACTTAAAATGATAAACATAAAATTACCATATGATCCAGGTATTTCACTCCTAGGTTTATGCGTAAGAGAAATGAACACATGTCTATACAAAAAGTTCTACAGAAATGCTCATAGCAGCATTATTCATAAGAGCCAAAAAGTGGAGACAACTCAAACGTCCATCAACTAAAGAAGAGATAAACAACATTTGCATATTTATACAATGGAATAGTATTGCGCCATAAAGAATGGTATTCTGATATAGATGAACCTTCATAACATTCTGCTAACTAAAAGAAGTCACAAAAGAACACATATGATGTGATTCCATTTACATGAAATGTCCAGAATAGGCAAATTTATATATATAGATTTTATATATATATAAATTTATCTATATAGATTTTATATATATATATAAATTTATCTATATATATATAGAAAGTAGATTAGTGCTTATCAGGGGCTGGGGAGGGGGGAGTACAGGGAGTGACTCCATTGGTATGAGCTTTCTTTTGGGGTTGATAAGAAATGTTCTGTAATTAGATGGCAGTAATCCATGCACAACTTTCTTCACTTTAAAAGGGTGAGCTATGTGAATTATGTTTCAATAAAGCTGTTATATTTTTAAAAAGAATACAATGTTATAAAAACAATTTTGATCAAAAACAGTCTCCCCAAAGACTAATATATCTGGTAGAGGCAGATAAAATAAAATTGTGTTAAACTTCTCATATGTTAGCATTTCCCTTTTGATTTTAAAATTTGGATAAATAAGAAGCTCTTTTGTAAAACATAAAGGCAAACATAAAAGCAAAAACATAGCAATCTAGAAAAATACAAAAAACTTGTTCCAAATGTGGAACAAAAATAAAATTTTAAAAGAGGTAAAAAAAAAAAGGTATCAGTGATCACAATAACTCAAACTTTGTTCAATTCCCACTAAACACAAACATGTTCAAATTGGGCCAAATCAAAACTCAACTATAATTTTGGTTGTTAATATATAGTCCTAATATACAAGTAGAAATAAAGTAAATTTTACTGAATAGTAGAGAATTTTAAAATCTATTTTATCACCCTCTTTTTCTTTACCATATCAAGAAATCTTCATTCTCTGAGAGACCCCCTCTTTGAAATTCTATCTCTTATCCATTGCTCATTTGAGACGTCTTGATAGCAAATCAATGTTTTCCATGACTGACACTACTGGCTGTTTAAACAAAAGCCTCCTCGTTCCTAGAAAACACGCCCTCGATTTTACGAGGGCATCAACTAGCCAGGTGTTCAGAGAAGCACCAGGCTCTTCTACCCTATTTAAGGAAAGAAATCCTCATTACACTAAGATAAAAAATGCTTCCTGTGCTCTTTGAGAGTGACTGCTTCAGGAAAGGACATATCACACAATTCCAGACAAAGAGACTTAAGGGGAAATCTTCTAAAGATATTCTAGGAAAATTTTTCTTTGAAAAGTGGATTTGCTGTTCCTTGAGTAATGATAGACCTGGAGCTGCTACAACAATCCTGCAAACACGGTGCAGGAAGGCAGGTGTAAATGACCTGTTAGGATTAGGTACACCAGGAAGACAAGAAAAATCTGAGTCCTTGGGGATTCTGGACCACAAGCAACCCCTAGATCAGCCATATTTTTGGGCTTAGGAGATAATAAATTTTGTTATTCAACCACATTTTTAAAAAACTTTGTGAAAGTTGTCAGAATCAAGATGGAGTTGCTTGTTTTAAATACTCTGATAAAACCATGGAAGGCCATGAAAGGAGGTTTTTCATTAATAAGTGCCTAAAAACAAGAACTATCTCAAAAGACTCTGCAAAATCCAACTCTTACACAAAGGCCATTGAAACTTTCCAGTAAAAAAAAAAAAATTCCTCTTTGAAGACATCTGCTCAACAACTGCCTGTCTAACCTCGGATTTGTACTACCCATGTTATTGATTCTTGTAGGCAAGGATAATTATCTCAAAAACAATTATATAAACTCTCCCTAATTTTCTCTTAAAAACATTGCCTTTTTTATATCCCTGAGTACACACATAGTTTGCTAGGCCATGCATATTCCCATTGCAATGCCTATTCTGAAATAAACATTATTTTTTTTTGGGTGCCTCTCTATGTTTGTTATTAAGGTTGACAACTTCCAGATAAAATCATCTTAACCAACTCGTTCTTTATTTAATATATAAGTACCCATAACTTAGTATAGTTTTATGCTTTGGTGGTGGATTTAGGGAGGCATGAGATGGAATTTAATTATTTGGAAGGTAAAGAAAATTTGAAATGATTGAAATAATCCAACTAATCAGTGGTGTTATAGAACACGGACAATCAAGAAGGATCAAAGTGTTTGATCCTTCAAAGCAGAATGTGCTCTGTACCAATTGATTCCAAGTCTTCCAGAGGTAAATCTCAGGGGTCTCCTCTGGGTCTTTATTCTTTAGTAACTCTAGTAATTTATTCTGAATTTTAGGTTTTAAAGATAAAATGGAAGTTGAGGATGGACATCAGGAGGGGATTTTAAAAAGTAGAAATATTGGGTGGATAGATTCATAAAACCCAGTGAAAGCTTCTTTTTTTGAATAAGTTAGCACTCATGTCTTCTCAAAACATCTTGAAGCCAGTAAAATCCCCTAAGATTATGTGACCAGATTTTTCTCCAACTGCTTTGTATATACTGGGACTCTTATCTGTCATCAGCATAATGTATTAAATTATACAATAAAAGATGAACAAACACAAATTCAGTGACTTGGAAATAAACAGGCACAGGCACATACCCACACACATAACAAATGAATATTACTAAATTACTTCTGGTTTAAAGGGAGTATCTAAATTACAGTTGCAGACTATTTAGAAAGTAACAATATTGCTAATGCACCATAATTTAAATGATACAGCAAAAGCTGCATTCAGCAGAAAAAAACCCCACAGCCTTAAATACTTTCATTATTATAAAAGAGAGAATAAAATCAATTTGAGAGACTGGAAAAAATACCAAAATATCTAAGAAAAATATGAAGAAACTATAATGATGAAAGCAAATAGCAATCAAATATTAAAAGATAAATAGTATAAGTAGTTTTACACATTTAAAATTTTGGCTTTTAAAAATGTACATAAAAAAGAAACATCTGTAGATGACTAGTCAAGAAAGAAGAGTAATTGCAAATATTTTTTACCATCAGGAATGATAAAAAATTCTCAAGTAAATTTTCCTGATATATTTTTCTAAATAACAGGTAGAGAAACTGAGTAGAGCAAGAACTATGAAAGAAATGGTTTCCAATAAATTATTTCAATAAAGATTAGTCCCAGACAGTTGTCTCAGTAAGTCTGATTATATATTTCAGTGTGAGCTAATTCCATTTCAGTGGAAATTCTTCCCAATTCATCTTAAAAATGAAGCATAAATTTTAGAAAGCAAAACAAAATTAAAACCACAGACCAATTTTACATAAACACTAAAACTCAAGCTTTAATAGAAATGATTGTCTGAGTTCTGAGAGTCGATAAACCATAATTTAACCATTTACGCTGCTATAGCTTGAGATAGATGACAAATATTCAAACCATGCCCCATCTTAACCAATTTCATTCTGAGATCTGACACTTGCACATTCTGCTTCTACTTACTAAGTACAGGGTTCATTTGATTGCAAGTGACTTTCAACTTCTGTGAGCAGAAAGGGAAATTATTGACTCACGTAATGGCAAAGTCCAAGGATACAGTAGCTGCAGAAATGGCTGGATCCAGGGATGCAAGAAATGGCAATAGATTGGGCAACCACATATGGTTATTCAGTGTGTGCACTGTACATATGCACCCAGCCACACTCTACTCTCAAAATCATGAGCTGCATTCATCCAGAAGCGCAAGACTATTCTCCTTTTCATGAAGGTGCTGTTTATTTGCCAAATGGGAACTCACCTAAAGAATACACGTTTTTCCAATTATCAGAAATTCTCCTTTATAGGCAGGCAAAGGCGCCACTCACAGGGCTCAGCTTGACTCCCTCCTTCTCTTTTTTCCTACCCTGTGTGATGGCTTTTATCTCACACAGGCTGTCTATATAGTACCTATGATGCCACTAGACAAAGCTTGCTTTGTCCTTGGTGCTGGAAATCCGAAAAAGGAAGTATATATCTGACAATTCTATTTTTTAAATCCCTCTAAAAGTTCTCATTGACTAAACCTGGGTGATGCTACCTAGTTAACAACATTTCAATGACATAGATTCAGAGTTGGACAAAGTGGTACTCACTGAAAACTTAGGATGTTATTACCAAGGATGTAGTTAGGGATGGTAGGTAAATGAATCTTACAGATACTCTTCCCTTTTCTTTTATTAATCATCAAAATCATTATCATTTTTTGTTACATTTGCATACCAGTTTACTGGCTGGGTTTTCCTCACAGTTAATGGAAATACCAAATGAGATATTCTGGAAAACATTGCCGTATAACAGAGCTGTGAACAGATACAAAGACTATTTACACAGCCAACTTTATAGACACACACACACACTGCCTTGATGCTCAGCATTGCCAGGTATAAAACTATAAGTTTCATCTTGGTATTTTTGTTTGGCTTAATATTTCTTCATTTACAGAGCTATAATGCAGCCAGCTGCTTCCTCTACTGCAGATACTTAAAACTCTGCCAAGAGAACTTTACTTATTAAATTTAAATATGTGGGGGTTTGTTTTGTTTTGTTTTGTGTTTTGCTTTTGGTATATACTGCAAAACTCGTTTTTTTTTGTTCTAAATTGTTAAGTCGGACTTTTTTTGTGTTTGAAACAACATCATCTGGTTCAGTCTTGATACTGATTTTGGGGAAAAAGCAATAATTCTTACACTACCATAATATTACTCCTGTTTCCAAATTTTCTTTTTAATTGCTGTTCCAATACATTCGGGAAAGGTAAAACTTGATTTTCCTGTAGTAAGGAGCCCCTTGTTACACCACATTATTTTGAATAGACTGCAAGAAATAAAGTAAAGGAATCCTAGCCCCGAATTTAAGACTCATCTTTGTAAATGAAGTCCCCTTTATCCCACACCTAGAGATCTGTGATCCATTAGAAATCCAAGTTTGGAGCAGTCATCTCTTATTGCTGGGGATAAAAACTTTCAGAGTCAAATCACAAAGGCAGGCATCACTTCACAGTCAACAGACAAATGGCCCATTGAGGGGGATGTGTGAGTGTGTGTGTGTGTGTGTGTGTGTGTGTGTGTGTGCATGAGAGAGAGAGAGAGAAAGAGAAAGAGAGAGAGAAAGGAAGAGGAGAAAGAGAAAAAAATTAACCAAAGTCATAAAGTCAGAAAATAAATGCTTGCCATTGTTACGCTTTTCGGATGACTTTGGAGAACCTTAAATATAAGTATTTTCTTTGATTTACCTTATTTTATCATTTACCTTAATTGGACAGAAAGAAAAGATAGCTAATTAAATTTTCAACTCTGGGAAACAAAAACGAAAATAAACCTCACTGTGGGAAAAGACGGCATGATGCAATATTAGTGATGGCATAACGAAGAGAGTTAGTTAAATGATGCTTTCAACTGACCCTGCACTTACTTCTGAGCATCAGAATGTCCAGATCTGTGCTGAGAAAAACCAGCGTTATAATAATAATGGAAAGTAAAACCTCAAGTTCTCTGTTTGCTCTGTCCCTAGTAAGCACTAAGTCACTTGGCAAACGTCTGTGCCTTCTTTTCTTCTATAATGAAATGGAAAAAAACCCTGCCTATTCTACCTTCTGTGCCTGAGGTTTGTTTTAAAACTGAAATTAGCTAATAAAAACACATGTTCAAAACTGCAGGGGGCTAAGATATGAGGAGAGTCAAGTTACATGCTTTTTTACAAATGCATTGAAGATGCCTCAGCAATATGGAAGAAGGACTGAAAGGTGCTCATTTAAAATGCAATCACCAAGAGTTTAGTAATATTGGGCAAAAAAAAGTCCCTTAATGTTGTCCACGTTAAGAAACCACGTAATGTCCCAATGACTTTCCATCAAAGGCTCCTGCAGAAATGGCAAAATTTGTGTGACATAAGTCAATTACAATTGATCCACAGGATCAGATTAAGTCCTAAACTCAGCACATTCTGGGTGGTCAAGCACTCTGGCCATGCTGCAGTTTCATGGGACTCCCAAAGTGTGTCCTTTGCCAGAATCAATTCCCGCTTCACCTGCTCTCCTATAGATGGCATCAACACTTTTCATTGTGTGGGTGCCATCTTTAAAGCACTTTTCATAAACTTTGCACTATTTGATTCTCACAACTGCCTGTAGAGAAGGAAACAGACTTTAAAAACAAGGAAAATGAGACCCAGCCAGAGTATTTTGCCCTTGATCATACAGCTTGTGTCCCAGCCAGAAGTGTATTTCTCATGCTCTTTCAGCCCATAAGAGAGGGCACAGAACTTTTTTTCTCAGTGATAAAATGTATTAGGGCTATCTTCACTATTTGATATTAACGCATGAGAGAGACGGGTGTTCATCCTTAGGATCCCTCCTCCAGCAATCATAACAATGCCTGGGAGATTTCTGGCACTCAGTATGTGCTTGGCTATTTTAATGTTTTAAATGGTAAACACAGCATTTTATCAACACATTGCCTCATTAAGTAAGAGAATAAGAACAGGCACCACCACCGCCCCGAATGTTTGTTGAACTGAGACATCCCATGAAATCCTAGAAGCTGGTTTTCTAGGTAGTAAATTTCAGTTTCATTCTCCCCTCTGTTTTTCTTCCTTCTCCATCCCTCGGCCCCATTCCTGCAGCAGTAATTTTCCCTCAACAGAAAAAACGGCTGTGGAGCAGTCTGCTCATATTGAAGAAATGTCTCTGCTTTTAACATCTTGACTTCAGCACAGGTTTTCTTTCTCAGAGCTGTCTCTTCCCAGTTTCCCTGGGCTAACTTTGCCTAATTTTTATCATAGTAATTGTCTCGGTAAAAGAACATTCCCTACCTCTGCAAATATATCACGCTGTATTTGCTTCTGTTTATACAGATCTTTTCTACATGATGGTGGAGGCATTGTTATTTATGTGTGTGTGTATGTGTGCGTGTATATGCACAATTAATTTTTTTACCACACAAATCTCTCCAGTTTTCCATCTTTTCAATGAAGCTTATTTAAGACCTGCAGGCAGATTATATTAATGCTTCATCAGACTTCCATTGTCCAGGCAACAGACAATACTCTGAATGAGTCCAAAAGAAAATCACTACCTGCTGATAGCCAGGGTAGATCTCACTTACCAGATGTCTGGCATTCATTGTTGCGAACTTGTTTAATTTCTGCACCCAGCAATGACAGTGTTTTGATCCTTCAAAGCAGAATGTGCTCTGTACCAATTGATTCCAAATGGCCTCTCTTTAGATTGAATTTTTATTTTATTTGGTTGAATGACTTTGTTTCATTTAAACCTGTATTTATGTGGAAAATTCAAATAATGCGTTCCAATTTGCATTTCAAAAAAAGAATCTTTGTGTTTATGAAATCACTTCTGAGTTGCAATTACAGTTATTTGTCTCTGGGATGTACAACACGTAATTGGGTCAACACTGTTAATGAGGGACTAGTGTTATTGTTAATGAGCTACTAGTGATAGTTTCAATGTTTCATCCCCAGCAGGTGGTAAATACAATATGTTAAGATAGATAATTATGTTAATGTTTCAAATATTCACAGACCAAAGATGTCATTAAAGACATGCAACTATGAGGTGAAAAGGTACAAATACATGAAGTCAAGTTTAAAAGGTACAAATACATGAAGTGAACTCTACCTTATCCAAAGGGTATTAGTCTTTCCTTCATAGAAACTTCACTGTATATCTCAGTGTCCAGGTCCTGTTAACTCGTAGATCTTCAAAATAGCAAGAAGGCTGCTTTCAGCTGGTTTCGGATGCTGTCAACTTGGGCAAGTACTGATTTTAACAGTTGGCCTTGAAATGATTAACTTTGTAGGATGAACATCATTCAGGTATTCAACACAATCTTAATTGTTCCATCCTGAGAAAGTCATTGTGTGGAACACTTACAATAAAAAACAGGCTGTTTCCCGCTAACAAAACATTTACAAACCATTAGAGAGGCAAGATGTATATATGTGAAATAGTTGGCAAGGCATAAGTACCAAATATGTAATAGAGACAATCAGGAACTTGAAAGAAAGAAAATGTGGACAGGAGTAGATGGAAAAGTCTTTATTGAGAAGAAAGTTTATGTCAGTTAGAGATGCTTTTGCTTGCAAGTACAGAATGCTTAATTAACATTGGCTTTAATAGTGAAAGCATTTAAATCTCTCACATATAAAAAAATTGAAGTTAGGAAATTCTAGGTTTAGAGCAGCAGCTTAAGGGTGTCATCAAAGACTCAAAATCCTTTCAGTCTTTTCTGCTTTGTTCAAAATGTCAGTAACATATAATATATTGTCACCAGATAACTTCTGCAGCTCTGCTCATTACATCTTCATCTACAGCCATCCCTGGCAGAAAGAGAATGGGGAAAAAAAGGAACTTCTTCTAAGCCCGTTTTAGAAAGGAAGACAAAAATATTCCCGCAGTCCTCAACAGATTTCCCTTCACATCACATTGGTGAGAACTGGACCTATGTTCTCCCTCTGAAGCAGCCGCTGGTGAAGGAAAACAAATCAGGATTGCCAAAAAGGCTTAGACCAGCCACAGATGACTGAGTTGCACCTGGAAGATCTTGGATCCACAAGCAACAAAACCAAATCAGGATCCCAGTTTGAAATGAAAAAGAGGGCAAGTGCTAAGTAGGGAACCAAACACTGAGCCAGGCTTCCATTTCCAGACCGTGGTTTCCATAGGCAGAATGGAAACCAGAGGCTGGGGGGCTGAGGCTGGAATGGAAGTAAATCACCAAATATTCTGCAGTCAAGTTCCAAAGCTGGTTTAAGAAGAACAATAACTATAGATTTGAGGAAATACAGGAGGAAGAAATACTAAAGAAGCTTCCGGTGGGTTTTGCAAATTACCTCTTGGCTTAGGATACTTTTGTCATGTAGTGTCTGTGATAGCTGTCAGATGATAATGTTGAAGTAGCTCAGAACATCAAATGTTACATGTGAGACAAATTTACCTAGATGGCTAGATTCTGCCAGCGAATCATAAAACTTTGGCCTCATTAACATCACTGGCCCATACCTAAACATTCACTGGAAAATTACTAGGAAAGCTTTCCAAAAATAAATATTCCCAGACTCCACACCAGGCCTTCTGAACCAAACCTCAACAGCTGGGCCCATGTACATCCCGGAGAGTGCTGTTAAGGCCACAAAAGCCAACAGATTGCTAGTTGTGGCAGTCAGCTATCATCAGGCTGTACCACGGTTACAACCTCAAACCCTGAGTGGATCACACAGCATGGGTTTATTTCTTAGTCACAGTGCACGTCAGCTGTGGGTTGACTCATTCTGTGGCTCTGCTGCATGTTTCTTCTACATGCTGACGATTGACTCCAGTGTTTCTCAACCCATTTCTACTCTTTTTAAAATATGTTTATGTACTTTATGTATATCTCTACTCTCATTTTTTTGCCAATTCCCCCACCCAAGAATCAATTATACGCCACTGAGGGCAGTATCACCCACATTGCAAATCTATAGTCTGGGCTGAAAAAGTAACGTCCATCCGCATCTCATGGAAAGGAGAAAACACTGGTGGGTAAACCATGCGATGCTCTCAGGGGTTCTGGTTGAACATGGCTCCTGTCCTGTCTGCTCATATTCTAACCACTGGCCAAATCAAGTCACGGGAACATGCTTAATGTTAGTGTGGTCACGAAGTATTCTCCTCCCATCAGGAAGGAATGGATGTTGCAAGATAATTTACAGGAATGGCAGATAAACATTTCAATCAGTAACACAATCTGCCACCCTGCATGTCCTTAAGGGATGTTAAAACAAAATAGAAATTTTATTTGCATGTTCCCATCAGAGCCATTATCTATCCATCTACTGTACCAATAAGATGCTACATATCACACTGCATCAAGAAACATGTAACCAGAGTGGGGATAGGGAACTATAATGCTAGCACAGTTTGAGTTTTTTAGTTTGGAGAAAAATGTAAAACTGAAAGGGGGTAATATCAAAGACCAAAAAAAAGAGATAATAGTCATACCTTGGGCTTATATGATACAATAGATTTGAGAAAGAATAGAATACTAGAACTAGAAATACCATAAAATTTGGAAGAAATTATCATAGAACAAATGAAAGAAGGTGTCATTTTATTCATTTGCAAAATATCTACTATATTCTAGTTGTGTGCTAATTCCTAGATTCACAGTTAAGATAACACAGAACTATCAACCAGGCACTTGATCTCTACTCAGATTATAGCCTAATATGAGGAAAGTGGGCTCTTTTTTTCAAAAAGAAGAAATTTTCAAAATTATGAAAATATTTTTATTTATTAATCACCTTTGATCCCAAAGATAGAAGAGGGACAAAATAACCTCTGCTCTTTTTACTTATTGTTTGTTTTCTAATGACAGAATCATATGGTGAAATGTACAGAGACATGCATTTGTTAACCCTAATCAATCTATTATTGTATAATTGGTTTTCAGTCATGGATGACCTCAAACACTGTTGTCTATAAAAGACTTTTAAAACAGATAAATATCCAGGTTCTTAAGCCCTGCCTTAACACTTCTAATGTATGGCCTTTTTCAAAGACACAAGTGTCCCTTATTAGTAGTTTACAGACTCTGATAAGAAAATAACACAAAGTCCAGAGCAAATATATAAGGAAAAATGAGCAAGTTCTCCCCTAGTCCTAGGGCCACTATAATTATGCCAAAACTTTACAAGAGTTCTCTCTCTCTTCAACTTCCAAAATCTCTCACTGAAACAAAATGTATGTGTGGGAATCAGTTTCTTTGTGGACAGGACAATAGTTGCATTGAACAAGAAATGCTTTTTTAATGGAACTTTACATTTGAATACTTGTACTAATATTTCCTAAAATGCACTGATAATAATAAATAATAATAAATGATAAGTTATCTCAATTGTTACCTTCTCTGAGACATGGAGATTGAAGTTTGTGAAGAATGTGGAGGCACTAAAAATATTTGCCAAGCATCAGTTCATTACTGTAACCAATAAGCAAATTTATAGATTATATTTCTCTCTCTTCTAAATATATATATTGAATTCTAGCATTGCTCTCTATTCTCGCTGTTATTGCTCTATTCCAGGCTGACATCATCTGCTTGGAAAACAAAACAACCTACAAGCAAAAAAAGTCTTCTGTTTCCACTCTATTCTTACTCCATCCCACGTAGCCAGAATGATCTTCCAAAAATGTAAACCTATTCATGATGCTGCTCCTCCACTATCTCCCCAAAATAATTTCAATAGGTTCCAGTAATCTCAGGACAGAGGACAAAGTAATTAACATTATTGCTGTGGCTTGAGCATTTGTGTTCCACCAAAATTTACAGGTTGGAACCTAATACCTAATGTGGTAGTATTAAGGTGGAGCCTTTGGGGAAGTGATTTAGTCCCTTGTGAATGAGAATAGTGCCCTTATAAAAGAGGCTGAAGGGAACTGCCTTGTCCCTTCTACCATGGGAGGACACAGCTAGAAGGTGCGATCCATGAAGCAGAGAACAAGCCCTCACCAGACACCAAATCCACTGGCACCTTTACCTTGAACTTTCTAGTCTTCCAACTGTGAGCAATAAATTTCTGTTGTTTATAAATAGCCCAGTCTAAAGGTATTTTTTTACTGTGGCCCAACAGATGAGGACAACTCACAAGACGTGTGGTAATTTGTGCCCTGCTTTCCTCTCTAGTTTCATCTCCCATCCAGTCAGTTCCAGAGCTCGCCATCTTTGCTCCCAATTCTGGGCCCTTAGTTGACTATTACATTTCATAGATTATTTTCCCCTCTTTCCATCCCTTCTAAGTTGGTAAAACTCTGTTCATGTGACCTTTCTTTTAGGTTTCTGCTTCCATGTTGCTTCCACTTAGAAAGCCTTCCCTTACCATCTCTTTAAGACCAAAAGAGATGTGTCTTGTGTGTTTTTATTGCATGTTAACTTCTCATATAGCCCTTATCATACTGCATTGTCACTTGCCTGCTTCCTTCTCCATATCCCCTCACAAATACCCCCACTTCAGGTTATAAACTTAATGCAGACACAAACCATGTCTGTACTGTCTCACTGTTCTGTTTTCAGAACCTAGTATAGTACCTAGCACGTAGTCTTTATTAATGAATATTTGTTTAACAGATAAGTGCTGGTGGCATCTTGTTCTAGCCCAGTAAGAAAAGTGGGTAGAGCTAACCCATAGCAGTGAGCATGGAAATAAAGATTTTATAAAACCTGGAAGCTGGAACATCCAACCCATGGAGCTGAGAGCAAAGTAACATTGATTCCAAAGCTAAGTGTCTCTGATGGCTGTCAGACAAAATGGGAGGCCAGGTTTGAGGAGCAGAGCTATGAGTGATCACCAGAGGCAAGCGACTAAAAGACGAGAGACCTTGCATCATACTCCCCATGACCTAGGCAGAGGGTGAGGATGGAGCCAATGAAAACACATGGGCCAGTTGGACAGCATGGAGATCTGAGACACTTGGGAGCCAAGAATGACACAACTGTCCACAAAATCCAGCCCCCTCAGGACTGTTGCCTTGAAAGCTTAAGGTCAAACTTTAGTCTAACATTGTCCTATGATTTAGTCTTTTCTTTTCCTAAGTGTCCAATAGAACAAGTCTTTTTAGGGAAAGACAAAGCTTTTCATAAAAAGTCTGTATTTACTGGAGTACTCCCACAAAACCAAGCAGATAAACAAGCTATGCATCTTAGTTTGTATAGACTTAATAGTTCCAAAGCTTTGACGTATATCATTTCAGTTTTTTTTTTAATTTTGTAGGTACATAGTAGGTATATATATTTATGGGGTAGATGAGCTCTTCTGGTACATGTATAGAGTGTGTAATCACATCAGAGTAAGTGAGGTATCCATCACCTCAAGCACTCATTTCTTTGAGTTATGAACATTCCAATTGTACTCCCTCAGTTATTCTAAAATGTACAACAAATTATTGCTGACTGTAGCTACCCTATTGTGCTACCAAATACTAGTTATTATGTTCTCACTTATTTGCAGGAGCTAAAAATTAAAACGATTGAACTCATAGAGATAGAAAGTAGAATGACGGCTACCAGAGACTGGTAATAGTAGTGGGGCAGGAATAGGAAGTGGAAATGGTTAATGACCATAAATATATAGTTAGATATTATTTCATTTTTTTAAAGCACACCCTAAATGAGCAAACTGCAGCACATCCAAACAATGGAATACTACTGAGCAATATAAAGGAACTACTAGTGACACAGGCAACAACATGGATAAATTTTATATGCATTACCATGAGTTAAATAAGCCAGACACAAATGGCTACTAAGGGGAAAAATAATAATTTTTTTCAACAATAGGCTTTTAGTCAAAGTGGACCCCTGGAATGAGACAGATTAACAAGAGAAGAACAAACAGAAGTTTACGAATATGTATATTTCCTATGTACATGGAAAACACCCAGGAAATGGGTAGTTCTCCAAGAGGTGACTTTGAATTTCAGCTTATACACATCTTCAACAAAGAACAGTAAATTTTTAGAGAAGTGACCAGACAAAAGAAAAGGATTTTGAGTCTCCAGGGATGGCAGCTTGAGGGAAGGCAAACAACTGACAGTTAAAGGCTAGTTGAAAAACAGGAACTCCTCTCTAAATCATTTTATGAGACCAGCATCCTCCCGATACCAAAACCTGACAGAGATACAACAAAAAAAGAAAACTTCAGGCCATCATCCCTGATGAACATCAGTGCAAAAATCCTCAATAAAATACTGGCAAACCAAATCCAGCAGCACATCAAAAAGCTTATCCACTATGGTCAAGTCAGCTTCATCCCTGGGATGCAAGGCTGGTTCAACATTTGCAAATCAATAAATATAGTTTATCACACAAACAGAACTAATGACAAAAACCACATGATTATCTCAATAGATGCAGAAAAGGCCTTTGATAAAATTCAACGTAAAAAAAAAAACTCCCAGTAAACTAGGTATTGATGGAACATATCTCAAAATAATAAGAGCCATTTATGACAAACCCATAGACAATATCATACTGAATGGGCAAAAGCTGGAAGCATTCTCCTTGAAAACTGGCACAAGACAAGGATGCCCTCTTGCACTACTTCTCTGGTACAATCTTTAGGCTGCTAAGCATTCAAAGATGTCTTCAGTAGTTAACATTTGTTCTTCCTGGTAGAGAAGCGGGCAGGATACCTTTTGTATTTGTCAACGTATGTCCTGTTTTTAGGAAACTAGAGGGAGGGCAGAGAGCTTGTATTAGACCTTAAGGGAAAGAATGTAGGAAGGAAAAAAATTCCCTTCACATATATGAAATATAAGTTAAAGTACTATTATTTCCATTTATAAATTGGTGAACTGACTGAGAGGTTAAAAACTACTCACTTGAGGTTGCATGTCTAATTAATGAAGATTCCGAAATAAAATCATAACATTCACCAGTCAAAGCAATCAGATTCATGTCATGGTGAACAGAGCGATAGGCTTAGCACTGGATGACCACCTGTATTTGACTCTTAGATTTGGAACATGCACTTTGACCATGGGTTATTATTTAACTTTCCTGGGCTTCATTTCCTTGTTCATAAAATGGACATGATATCTACTCACAGACATATGATATTTTATGTAAAAATATATCTTTTTTTTTTTAACTTTTTTTTTTTTTTATACTTTAAGTTTTAGGGTACATGTGCACATTGTGCAGGTTAGTTACATATATATACATGTGCCACGCTGGTGCGCTGCACCCACTAACTCGTCATCTAGCATTAGGTATATCTCCCAATGCTATCCCTCCCCCCTCCCCTCACCCCACCACAGTCCCCAGAGTGTGATATTCCCCTTCCTGTGTCCATGTGATCTCATTGTTCAATTCCCACCTATGAGTGAGAATATGCGGTGTTTGGTTTTTTGTTCTTGCGATAGTTTACTGAGAATGATGGTTTCCAATTTCATCCATGTCCCTACAAAGGACATGAACTCATCATTTTTTATGGCTGCATAGTATTCCATGGTGTATATGTGCCACATTTTCTTAATCCAGTCTATCATTGTTGGACATTTGGGTTGGTTCCAAGTCTTTGCTATTGTGAATAATGCCACAATAAACATACATGTGCATGTGACTTTACAGCAGCATGATTTATAGTCATTTGGGTATATACCCAGTAATGGGATGGCTGGGTCAAATGGTATTTCTAGTTCTAGATCCCTGAGGAATCGCCACACTGACTTCCACAATGGTTGAACTAGTTTACAGTCCCACCAACAGTGTCAAAGTGTTCCTATTTCTCCACATCCTCTCCAGCACCTGTTTTTTCCTGACTTTTGAATGATTGCCATTCTAACTGGTGTGAGATGATATCTCATAGTGGTTTTGATTTGCATTTCTCTGATGACCAGTGATGATGAGCATTTTTTCATGTGTTTTTTGGCTGCATAAATGTCTTCTTTTGGGAAGTGTCTGTTCATGTCCTTCGCCCACTTTTTGATGGGGTTGTTTGTTTTTTTCTTGTAAATTTGTTTGAGTTCATTGTAGATTCTGGATATTAGCCCTTTGTCAGATGAGTAGGTTGCGAAAATTTTCTCCCATGTTGTAGGTTGCCTGTTCACTCTGATGGTAGTTTCTTTTGCTGTGCAGAAGCTCTTTAGTTTAATTAGATCCCATTTGTCAATTTTGGCTTTTGTTGCCATTGCTTTTGGTGTTTTGGACATGAAGTCCTTGCCCACGCCTATGTCCTGAATGGTAATGCCTAGGTTTTCTTCTAGGGTTTTTATGGTTTTAGGTCTAACGTTTAAATCTTTAATCCATCTTGAGTTGATTTTTGTATAAGGTGTAAGGAAGGGATCCAGTTTCAGCTTTCTACATATGGCTAGCCAGTTTTCCCAGCACCATTTATTAAATAGGGAATCCTTTCCCCATTGCTTGTTTTTCTCAGGTTTGTCAAAGATCAGATAGTTGTAGGTATGCGGCGTTATTTCTGAGGGCTCTGTTCTGTTCCATTGATCTATATCTCTGTTTTGGTACCAGTACCATGCTGTTTTGGTTACTGTAGCCTTGTAGTATAGTTTGAAGTCAGGTAGTGTGATGCCTCCATCTTTGTTCTTTTGGCTTAGGATTGACTTGGCGATGTGGGCTCTTTTTTGGTTCCATATGAACTTTAAAGTAGTTTTTTCCAATTCTGTGAAGAAAGTCATTGGTAGCTTGATGGGGATGGCATTGAATCTGTAAATTACCTTGGGCAGTATGGCCATTTTCACGATATTGATTCTTCCTACCCATGAGCATGGAATGTTCTTCCATTTGTTTGTATCCTCTTTTATTTCCTTGAGCAGTGGTTTGTAGTTCTCCTTGAAGAGGTCCTTCACATCCCTTGTAAGTTGGATTCCTAGGTATTTTATTCTCTTTGAAGCAATTGTGAATGGGAGTTCACTCATGATTTGGCTCTCTGTTTGTCTGTTGTTGGTGTATAAGAATGCTTGTGATTTTTGTACATTGATTTTGTATCCTGAGACTTTGCTGAAGTTGCTTATCAGCTTAAGGAGATTTTGGGCTGAGACGATGGGGTTTTCTAGATAAACAATCATGTCGTCTGCAAACAGGGACAATTTGACTTCCTCTTTTTTCCTAATTGAATACCCTTTATTTCCTTCTCCTGCCTGATTGCCCTGGCCAGAACTTCCGACACTATGTTGAACAGGAGTGGTGAGAGAGGGCATCCCTGTCTTGTGCCCGTTTTCAAAGGGAATGCTTCCAGTTTTTGCCCATTCAGTATGATATTGACTGTGGGTTTGTCATAGATAGCTCTTATTATTTTGAAATACGTCCCATCAATACCTAATTTATTGAGAGTTTTTAGCATGAAGGGTTGTTGAATTTTGTCAAAGGCTTTTTCTGCATCTATTGAGATAATCATGTGGTTTTTGTCTTTGGCTCTGTTTATATGCTGGATTACATTTATTGATTTGCGTATATTGAACCACCCTTGCATCCCAGGGATGAAGCCCACTTGATCATGGTGGATAAGCTTTTTGATGTGCTGCTGGATTCAGTTTGCCAGTATTTTATTGAGGATTTTTGCATCGCTATTCATCAGGGATATTTGTCTAAAATTCTCTTTTTTGGTTGTGTCTCTGCCCGGCTTTGGTATCAGAATGATGCTGGCCCCATAAAATGAGTTAGGGAGGATTCCCTCTTTTTCTATTGATTGGAATAGTTTCAGAAGGAATGGTACCAGTTCCTCCTTGTACCTCTGGAAGAATTCGGCTGTGAATCCATCTGGTCCTGGACTCTTTTTGGTTGGTAAACTATTGATTATTGCCACAATTTCAGCTCCTGTTATTGGTCTATTCAGAGATTCAACTTCTTCCTGGTTTAGTCTTGGGAGAGTGTAGGTGTCGAGGAATGTATCCATTTCTTCTAGGTTTTCTAGTTTATTTGTGTAGAGGTGTTTGTAGTATTCTCTGATGGTAGTTTGTATTTCTGTGGGATTGGTGGTGATATCCCCTTTATCATTTTTTATTGTGTCTATTTGATTCTTCTCTCTTTTTTTCTTTATTAGTCTTGCTAGCGGTCTATCGATTTTGTTGATCCTTTCAAAAAACCAGCTCCTGGATTCATTGATTTTTTGAAGGGTTTTTTGTGTCTCTATTTCCTTCAGTTCTGCTCTGATTTTAGTTATTTCTTGCCTTCTGCTAGCTTTTGAATGTGTTTGCTCTTGCTTTTCTAGTTCTTTTAATTGTGATGTTAGGGTGTCAATTTTGGATCTTTCCTGCTTTCTCTTGTGGGCATTTAGTGCTATAAATTTCCCTCTACACACTGCTTTGAATGCGTCCCAGAGATTCTGTTATGTTGTGTCTTTGTTCTCGTTGGTTTCAAAGAACATCTTTATTTCTGCCTTCATTTCGTTATGTACCCAGTAGTCATTCAGGAGCAGGTTGTTCAGTTTCCATGTAGTTGAGCGGCTTTGAGTGAGATTCTTAATCCTGAGTTCTAGTTTGATTGCACTGTGGTCTGAGAGATAGTTTGTTATAATTTCTGTTCTTTTACATTTGCTGAGGAGAGCTTTACTTCCAACTATGTGGTCAATTTTGGAATAGGTGTGGTGTGGTGCTGAAAAAAATATATATTCTGTTGATTTGGGGTGGAGAGTTCTGTAGATGTCTATTAGGTCCGCTTGGTGCAGAGCTGAGTTCAATTCCTGGGTATCCTTGTTGACTTTCTGTCTCTTTGATCTGTCTAATGTTGACAGTGGGGTGTTAAAGTCTCCCATTATTAATGTGTGGGAGTCTAAGTCTCTTTGTAGGTCACTCAGGATTTGCTTTATGAATCTGGGTGCTCCTGTATTGGGTGCATATATATTTAGGATAGTTAGCTCCTCTTGTTGAATTAATCCCTTTACCATTATGTAATGGCCTTCTTTTTCTCTTTTGATCTTTGTTGGTTTAAAGTCTGTTTTATCAGAGACTAGGATTGCAACCCCTGCCTTTTTTTGTTTTCCATTTGCTTGGTAGATCTTCCTCCATCCTTTTATTTTGATCCTATGTGTGTCTCTGCACGTGAGATGGGTTTCCTGAATACAGCACACTGATGGGTCTTGACTCTTTATCCAACTTGCCAGTCTGTGTCTTTTAATTGGAGAATTTAGTCCATTTACATTTAAAGTTAATATTGTTATGTGTGAATTTGATCCTGTCATTATGATGTTAGCTGGTGATTTTGCTCATTAGTTGATGCAGTTTCTTCCTAGTCTCGATGGTCTTTACATTTTGGCATGATTTTGCAGCGGCTGGTACCGGTTGTTCCTTTCCATGTTTAGCGCTTCCTTCAGGAGGGCTTCCTTTAGGGCAGGGCTGGTGGTGACAAAATCTCTCAGCATTTGCTTGTCTGTAAAGTATTTTATTTCTCCTTCACTTATGAAGCTTAGTTTGGCTGGATATGAAATTCTGGGTTGAAAATTCTTTTCTTTAAGAATGTTGAATATTGGCCCCCACTCTCTTCTGGCTTGTAGGGTTTCTGCCAAGAGAACCGCTGTTAGTCTGATGGGCTTCCCTTTGAGGGTAACCCGACCTTTCTCTCTGGCTGCCCTTAACATTTTTTCCTTCATTTCAACTTTGGTGAATCTGACAATTATGTGTCTTGGAGTTGCTCTTCTCGAGGAGTATCTTTGTGGCATTCTCTGTATTTCCTGAATCTGAACGTTGGCCTGCCTTGCTAGATTGGGGAAGTTCTCCTGGATAATATCCTGCAGAGTGTTTTCCAACTTGGTTCCATTCTCCGCATCACTTTCAGGTACACCAATCAGACGTAGATTTGGTCTTTTCACATAGTCCCATATTTCTTGGAGGCTTTGCTCATTTCTTTTTATTCTTTTTTCTCTAAACTTCCCTTCTCGCTTCATTTCATTCATTTCATCTTCCATTGCTGATACCCTTTCTTCCAGTTGATCGCATCGGCTCCTGAGGCTTCTGCATTCTTCACGTAGTTCTCAAGCCTTGGTTTTCAGCTCCATCAGCTCCTTTAAGCACTTCTCTGTATTGGTTATTCTAGTTATACATTCTTCTAAATTTTTTTCAAAGTTTTCAACTTCTTTGCCTTTGGTTTGAATGTCCTCCCGTAGCTCAGAGTAATTTGATCGTCTGAAGACTTCTTCTCTCAGCTCGTCAAAATCATTCTCCATCCAGCTTTGTTCCGTTGCTGGTGAGGAACTGCGTTCCTTTGGAGGAGGAGAGGCGCTCTGCGTTTTAGAGTTTCCAGTTTTTCTGTTCTGTTTTTTCCCCATCTTTGTGGTTTTATCTACTTTTGGTCTTTGATGATGGTGATGTACAGATGGGTTTTCGGTGTGGATGTCCTTTCTGTTTGTTAGTTTTCCTTCTAACAGACAGGACCCTCAGCTGCAGGTCTGTTGGAATACCCTGCCGTGTGAGGTGTCAGTGTGCCCCTGCTGGGGGGTGCCTCCCAGTTAGGCTGCTCGGGGGTCAGGGGTCAGGGACCCACTTGAGGAGGCAGTCTGCCCGTTCTCAGATCTCCAGCTGCGTGCTGGGAGAACCACTGCTCTCTTCAAAGCTGTCAGACAGGGACATTTAAGTCTGCAGAGGTTACTGGTGTCTTTTTGTTTGTCTGTGCCCTGCCCCCAGAGGTGGAGCCTACAGAGGCAGGCAGGTCTCCTTGAGCTGTGGTGGGCTCCACCCAGTTCGAGCTTCCCCAGCTGCTTTGTTTACCTAAGCAAGCCTGGGCAATGGCGGGCGCCCCTCCCCCAGCCTCGCTGCCGCCTTGCAGTTTGATCTCAGACTGCTGTGCTAGCAATCAGCGAGACTCCATGGGCGTAGGACCCTCCGAGCCAGGTGTGGGATATAGTCTCGTGGTGCACCGTTTTTTAAGCCGGTCTGAAAAGCGCAATATTCAGGTGGGAGTGACTCGATTTTCCAGGTGCGTCCGTCACCCCTTTCTTTGACTCAGAAAGGGAACTCCCTGACCCCTTGCGCTTCCCAGGTGAGGCAATGCCTCGCCCTGCTTCGGCTCGCGCAGGGTGCGCGCACCCACTGGCCTGCGCCCACTGTCTGGCACTCCCTACTGAGATGAACCGGGTACCTCAGATGGAAATGCAGAAATCACCCGTCTTCTGCGTCGCTCATGCTGGGAGCTGTAGACCGGAGCTGTTCCTATTCGGCCATCTTGGCTCCTCCCTGTAAAAATATATCTTAACTTCAGTTGCGGTAACAAAATATCAGAGACTGTGTGGCTTAAGGAATAGACACTGTTTCTCATAGCTCTGGAGGCTGGCAACTCTAAGATCAAGGCACTGGTGGACTTGGACTTGGTTTCTATGAGAACTGAGGATCCTCTTCCTAGTTTGCAAATGGCAGCCTTCTCACTGTGCCCCCTCATGGCACAGAGAGAGAGAAAGTAAGCTCTAGTCACTTTCTCTCCTAATAAGGATGCTAATCCCATCATGAGGGCCCCACCCTCATAACCTCATTGAAACTTAATTAGCTTCTAAAGGCCTCATCTCCAAATACCATCACCTTGGGGGTTATAGCTCCAATATATCAACTTGAAGGGGCACAAATCAATGCAAATCAATCAGTATTTCCTTCCTTTCTATTCTTCTGGTGTCCGGTACAGACCAGTGCACAATCAGTGGATGGGCTAGAAGAAATTTTGCTTTTTAACTCAGCATATTTCCTGTGGGGGAGAATCCTACAGAAAATGGAGACTGTTGTCATCACCCTCCTCAGATCCAGGAGCTGCTCTTTCATGCAACATTAACACACAGAATCTACAGTTTTATTTCTCATTCTTTCACTACACCAGAACTAGATTCCAGATGATTATCAGATGAGTTCTTAACAACATCTTTACTGCTCCTCATTCCTAATGCCTAACACATTGTCTGGCATGCAGTTGGTGCTGAATAAATATCTGTGGGATATAGAGATGGTTGAATGTTTATAGTCAGTTCATTGCATTTTATGTGTTATCTACTATAAAAAATATTTTATGTTTGATATTTCTGTGCAAGTGAGCATCATTTTCAGAAATGAGGATTTACATACAGCTAACTTAGGAGAAGTGATTATGGCAGCAATACGTAGAAAGCAAGGATAAAAACTCTCGAACTTGACATTTAGCTTACCTTACACCATTAAAAGAAATATTGCAAAATATTTTACAGAAACACTAAATCCTTAGAGAAAAATAAATGCAACAAGTGGAAATGTAAATAATTAACAAGGGTACTTTTTGTTTGTGTCTTGTTCATCTTTGTTCCTCATTTGTCTGCATTAACAAAGGTCACGGTCTTTAATCTGTGCATGACTCATTCGCACCTGGAGATCCTCTGCATCTGACTTTTTTCTCTCTTAGTGCATTATCTCTTTTTATCACAATTTTATGTTATTGTGTTAAAATACATGTAAGATTTACCCTCTTTGCCAATTTTAAATATACCATTCAGTTGTATTAAATACATTTATAATGTGGTACAGCCATATCCACCATCCATCTCCACAACTCTTTCATCTTATAAAACTGAAACTCTGTACCCATGAACAATAACTCTCTATTCCCTCCTCCCCTCAGTCTCTGGCAACAACCATTCTACTTAATGTCTCTATTAGTTTGACTACTCTAAGTATCTCATATAAATTGAATTATACAGTATTTGTGGATTTTTTTTGTGTGACTGACTTGTTTCACTTAGCATTATGCTCTCTAGGTTCATCCATGTTGTGGTATATGTAAGAATTTCCCTCCTAATGCTGGATCATAGTCTACTGTATGTATACACCATATTTTGCTTATCCATGCATCTGTTGATGGAACTTGGGTTGCTTCCATGTTTTAGCTATCATGGATAGTGCTGTTATATACATGGGTGTACACATATGTTTTCCATACCCTGCTCTCAATATTCTACCTTCAATTCTTTTGGGTATACTACTGGAAGTGAATCACTGGATCATATAATTCTGTTTTTAATTTTTTTTTAAAAAAAACTTCCATACTGTATTTTACAGTGTCTGTGCCATTTTACATTGCCACCTGTTGGGGGCTCTGCCCATATCCTCGCTAATACTTGTTGTTTTTCTTATTTTCTGATAGAAGACATTCTAATGGGTATGAAGTGGTATCATGTAGTGCTTTTGATTCACATTTTCCTTTTATGTTTAGTAATATTGAGCATTTTTTCATGTGCTTATTGGCCAATTTTGTATCTTCTTTGGATAATTGTCCATTCCAGTCCTTTGCTCATTTTGGAATTGGGCTGTGGTTTTCCTTGTTGTTGATTACTTTCAGGAGTTCTCATCTCTTCTGGATATTAATCCCTTATCAGAAACATAACTTGCTGATATTTTCTCCCATTCTGTAGCTAGTATTTTAACTCTGCTGATAGTATCTTTTGATGCACAGAATTTTTTAAAGGTTTTATAAAGTCACATTTGTCTGTTTTGTTGTTGTTGTTGCCTCTGCCTTTTATATCATATCCAAGAAACCACTGCCAAATTCAGTGCCATGAAGCTTTTGCCCAATGTTTTTTTCTAAGAGTTTTACAGTTTCAGGGCTTACCTTTTGGTCTTTGATTCATTTTGAATTACTTTTTGTAAATCTTCTTAGGTAAAAGTCCAACTTCATTCTTTTGTATAGAGATATCGCACATTATCTTTTATCATTTTAATTGTAGAGTAAAATATGAGAGTGTATCCAATCCATGGGAGGAGGCCCAGCCACGTCTCTTGGATTCCTTAACTTCTAGAGGCATGTTGTCCTAACTTCCAATAGCCAGCACTTTCACAGCTGGCAGAGCATAGCCCAGGGCTGCCAAAACCCATTTGCATGCAGCAATATAGACCAGAATTATCTGGGAATTAGCACCCCCCAGGGACAGCTCTTAACCAGTAATAACTAGCTTGGAGCTATACTTCATCTCTCATCCCTTGACCTGGATAATTCTGAAACACTTTCCAGCATTCCCCCATAAGATCAAAGTCCAGTGTGCAAGTGTGGTAGCTGGCTTAACAGTGTACCTTTTACTGGCTGCCCTCCCTTCCCTGTCTCACTTCTTCCCCCTGCACACCCTGCAGGTCCTTCTTGTATCTCCCATTAAACTATTTGCACTTGAATCCTCACATCAGGCTCTGGCTCTGACGGAAACCGAACTAAGACAAGGAAGAAGAAAAGAGACATCAAGAATAGTCTATGGAGAGCCCTTTCCACGGCTATACCATGGAGTCTCCTTTCCTTAACCATCTTTCCTCTTTTGTCAGGATCTCCCCCTAGTGTCTATAAACTTCTAGCTAAGGCATTTGGGGAGAAACGAATGACCCCAAAAATGAATGACAATAATTTCTCAGACTTCTACTTGACTCAAAATTAGTGTCTCCAAATATGATGCACTGCTTCCTCTAGATAAGAGGAATTTAGAAACCAGAGCCTCTTTTTTATTTATTTTCAACTCCT
The DNA here is from genome assembly GCF_000001405.40 of Homo sapiens. NCBI lineage: Eukaryota > Metazoa > Chordata > Mammalia > Primates > Hominidae > Homo > Homo sapiens. The sequence goes on from NW_003315959.1 coordinate 84,285, forward strand.
GACAGAGCAATGGCTAATGTCACCACTGCAATAGATTTCCAGGAGCTTGTCTAATTAATATCAAAATTATAAAGTCAGAGAGTACTTTAGAGGACATTGAGGGAGTCCTCAGACCCATCCATTATGAAGCCCAAGTGATCCCCTTTAACAACAGCAATAAAACTGCCACACTGAATCTCTCTCTTATGCCATAAAGAATGAGAGGAACATGATCCCCATCCTCACAGGGTCTCCTCTTTGGAATTTATCCCCATGGCCAGAAAGAAGATGCATGTCCACCTGTCAGAGGAGACCCCTCTGCACTCAAACCAGTACCTCCTCACTCATCCCAAATATCGAGCCACACTAATGGTTTCTAAATGCCAATCTGCCACTGGTGCTTTGTGTAAAGACATTTTCACAAATCCACCAGTAAAACAGAACAATAAATACAATGTGGAGTGTTCTTCAGGCTAAATGCATTCATTTTTTTAAGCTGTCCCATATCCTTATAGTATGTGTCTCCTCTTTGGTGGGTATCAAAATTTCTTGAATTTTTCATAAGAGATGATAATAAACATTTGTTGCTTTTTTTTACGTGGCCAAGTTACCCATTTTGAAATTTTTCTAATTGTGTGACATCCAAGAGTTTAGGAATCAGCAGCCCATAGGACTATCTTAAGACAAAATTGGAGAAGACAAAGTTGGACATGTCACTCCCTGTCCAGAGACCATATCCGTTTAGGCAATTCTGAATTTCCCTCTAGCTCCTGACTGCATCCAAAAGGTGTTATTCTGAAGACCTGTCCCTACCTCTTTGCATCCTCCATTGAGAAGCCAGTTGAATTCTTAAAGCAATATTTATGAATCAGCTACTAAGTGCTGAGAGCTATAAAAAGAAATAAATACTCATTTCTAAGATGCCCCTAATTCAATAAAGGAGATAGATCCCTGTAAGATAAATATACAAAAATCTTAGAATAATACTGGAGGAAAACAAAGTTATGAGGACAAAGAAGAGGGAACACCTCTGCAAGGTGCTGGGAGCTCCACAGATGAGGGCCCTGATTTATTTCTGTTTTAAAATTTTTTCTTTAATAATTTTATTGTATATATTATTTACAACATACAAGATTCCCTGGAGACAAAGGGAACCACGTTCCAATAAAATGTTACCATCACTTTTGTTTCTGTCACTGTCATAAGGATCCAGGCATAAATAGATACACATGTCTATTTAATATACACATCTCCATAGTGACTATTTGATAGAGAATTATATACAGGCTAAGTAAGAAAAGTCTACTTGGACAAAGATGGGTGGCTATTATTTTTTATGCACATAATTTAGTGTGCTTAGAAAAATGTTGATCAGCTGCAATTGGCTGTAGCCGGCCAAAGGATAGCATTCAAGTGATTATAGACTTGGTAGAAGTGGAAAGTTAACTGACTCATCCAGGTGTTATGCCCACAGAAAGAAACAGTATCAGAGGGGCCTCTATAGGATTTGGCCAAGTTTTAAATCATAATTGTTATTGTCCAGGAAACAGTAAAACAAAACAAAATAAGAATCATATCAATCTAGTTATGCTGTAAACTTCTGTGTGTAAGCCAATTCCTGTGCAGCTTTAGGAATATAAAGGCACCTTGCTATTCACATGGGTTCATTTGTTTCTTCTTAGTTTTCAGTCTCAAAGAATCTTGAAGGGCAATGAAGAATGAAATCACTAGCTTATGTGTACTGGGTTTAATAAACTGGTTAATTCATCCTTTCAATACTCTTTTAATTAGATCAGTGAAAGTTAGTGTTTTGCAGAAAATCTGTGCCTATTATTTTCAGGAAAATATTTCCATTCTACAAATGATCAATGAACTTGTGGGAAAAAAATTTAATTCACTAGTTATCAAGGAATGCAAATTCATATAGGAAGAGCTTAAAATGGTTAATCTATCAGATTATAAAGGATGAGCAAAAATGTTAGTGTTCACTGTGTTTGAGGGTATGGGGAAAGAATGTTCTCCTACTATATTCCTAGTGAGATTGTAAATTGTTCCAACTTTCCCAGAGGGCATTTTGGTCTATATATCAAAAGTCTCAACGAATGCACATATCCTTTGACTTAAAAATTCCACTTGTTGGAATTGGTCCTAAGGAAATAAATGGAAATAGGCTGCAACTAAAAATAATTTTTAAATACAGCAGTAGGATATTGTATTTCACTATTATGATTCATCCACAAGACAGAATGCAATGCAATCTTTAAATATAAAGATGCCAGTCTATAATTGGTGATGTGAAAAGATGCTCATGATAAATGTAGACAAAAAGAAAATAGGTTACAAAACAAATGTAATGGTGATTCCATTTGAGCGAAAGATACATGTTATGTACCCAGTAGCCCATATGCACACACAAAAAATTGAGGAGATATAATTTAAAATAGTAACCGTAGTTTTATTACTATAGAGGAATTATTAGTGACTTAAATTTTTCATTTAAATATTTTTTACACGGTTATTTGATAAATGGTAATGGGAGAGGTGGACAGCCAGATGGGGACTGAGCTGAAGGCAGGAGTAGCACAGTCAAGTAGAAACAGGCAATTAAGGCTTGGACCAACTCTGTCATCCCTTAATGAAGCATAAACTGTCACTTTCCCTTTCGAGTCTTGAGTTTCCTCAGATATCATATAAAGGGAATGAATCAGATCTTCTCTAACTCTACTCTAGACCTTTCAGCCCAGGAGATTTAGAATGAATGCTATAACTTGAATACCAAGAGAGACTCAAACCTTTGATTCTAATTACTGGCAACAAAGCCAGAAGATTCATCACAAAGATACCACCAGGATTTATTCATCTCTCAATGGTCTAAGCAGAGCATTTGTGGAGGGAAAGTGGGAAACCTCAGGGAATACAGCATATTTTAACTGATCAGTGTTGCATTAGGACTAAATTACTAATATTCTCTGAGGTTTATCACTTCTAGGTTGGTCCACTGAACTGGTGGGGATAAGGATCTAGGGGAAAATCCTGAGGAGCCTGTTCAATTTCATGACCCACCAGATTTAAAACACATAGAGTTGGTTACAGGGAGAGAAAATGACCAGACTCCATTCCACCTAGCAGCATTATTGAAAATTTAGTTAAAAGTCAGTGTCTTTATTACCCTACTCTCCCAAACTAGGCCAAATAGTTGTAAAACGCTCCATAATGCTTAACCATCTCCACCACTGACCTGAAGTTACTGACCTCCAACGAAAGAAGACATTAGGAGGAATAAGGTTAAGCCATGCAGAAGAGAATAATTTAATTTTGTAATAGCCTTTGTTGAAGTAACGATACCCCAGGGCAATGGGAGACATTCAAGTTTAAATTTCTTTGAACTTACCAAGCAGCTCCCCCTTTCCCCTTTACTGTCTTTTCCCTTCCTTCAGGATTTAATTCCACCCATGCCACATGTAGATAGCAGCCAACATACCTTTCTTCCCTGGACTTGTCCAGTTTCTTCATTGTCTCATGGACCTAGCGTGTTCTTTGCTCAGTTCTGTTTGAGGAATATACCTCTCTCCTTCCCCCTACTCCAGGCCAGCCAGATCATTTTCATCAATTTATCAAAGGTGACATATAGCCCTTCAGACCCCTTCAGTTTCCATCAAATATGATGTTCAATCATATTCTTCCTTGGCTACTGATATGTTTAGTATGTCTCTGTTTTATACCTCCAGAATGGAGGCTTCTTCAGGGGAAAGACCATGTCCTATAGCTCTCTGTGTTCCCTGAAGTACTTCATAAGTACCTGTGAAGCATTCTATAAATCTCTTTAAACAGGGAATTAAGTGGATGATAAATAAATGCATGTCCACGGACTAGTAAGAACCATATCCACATATGGTATCAAGCCTAAAAGAAAATGTATATCCTTCAACCCTCCTAAGAAATGCCCATCGGTTGTTGGGGACATCTCACAACATGTGCATCAAGAGTGGAGCTAGGGAGTAGACCTGCTGCAGGAGCACAGGGTATCCTCCAAGGCTGCCTGTAGAGGATGCAGTTAGTGAGGAGTGGGATTCCACACTGGAAAACATAGGTGGGCTGATACAGACTTGAGGGAAGGCCCATTGGACATTTGGTACCTAATAATTTCTCAAATTTATTAATATCTCCTGGATCCCATAGGGAAAGACAGAAGCTGACCCAGTTGATAAACTCACTTGACTTTTGCAGTGTGGCAATTCTATTCCTGCATCCAGACCTGGGTATTTATGCAGGACCTTTACTGTGGCTGCTAAAAGAAGTTGCAAGGGCAATTACCTTCCTCCAACCTGCTGATGACCATCGGCTAGTGGATGGACGTGGAGGACTCCAGCCACACGCCCCCAGCAGCTCTCTCCCAGAGCCTGCTCATTAGGCCCTTTCACAGCTGGCTAGGACCGAGTGGGGGGCAGAGCTATGGTTGGATCTGCTTTGCAGCTAACATCATTTGGAGTGAAGGTATTTTTAACCTTGCTCAGTTTTCCAAGATGAGAAGCAGAGAGTGATACAGATACTGCAATGTATGCTTTGTGGGATTATTGTGGATGCAAACTTGAGACCTTCCTAGCACAGAAGGGCTTGCTGATGAACTCTGGCTATCCCTGACAGCTGAGGAATTCTGTGATAAGACTGACACAAAATTGCTCTTATTAAAAATTAGCACACAGCTCAGTACCTAGGACATTCTCTCTCTCTCTCTCTCTCTCTGTCTCTCTCTCTCTGTCTCTCTCTGTGTGTGTGTGTGTGTGTGTGTGTGTGGAGAGAGAGAGTAGAAAGAAAGGCAAAGAGTATTATGTCTGGTCTTATAGAAGTGTCTTTAACATTTTACTATTTGAAAAAAATTATGAAAATGATGGCATAAGCAGAATTTTTCAGAAAGAGAAAATACCCAAAGAATTATACTTCAAAACTTAAAGTGATGTTCGGTGCAGTATAATCATGGGTATTGTAGATGTATTTCCCCTTTCTGTGATGATGATTTTTTTATTATAAGCATTCATTAATCAGAAAATCAGAATTAGTCAGAAGAAGAAATCTGAGTTGGCTCTCTCCCCTGCCACAGCTCTTCCCAATCTGTGGCATCCGCTTTCTTCTGTCGGGACATCTGGTGCTCCTGCATACACCAGCTTGTCCTCGAACATCAGCTGCTACATTCCTGGGTTACTGAGTCAAGCCTTTCTTCTGCCCTTCTGAAGCTTTTGTGACTGAAAAAAAGTACTTCAGGACTCAGTCTCTCAAAATTAGTCTGGTCTCAAAGTTAAATTGCAACTCTTTTTATCTGTTATTCTCATACATGTAAGCATCTAGCCAGGATCCTTCAAGTTTCAGCAAACAAAGGGATTGGAACATAGTGTTCACAATTTCCTAGCTGTCTAATCCTGGAAGCTAAAATGTATTTGCTTCTAAAATAAAGGGAAGAGAACCAAAGGTCATGGGGATGATTGGCTTTCCAGGTCCATGAAAGAGAACCAGGGGACACTGGGTGACATGTAACAGCGGGGCATTCAAAATGGTATAGGAGCATCCAATTGTAATTAACCTTTGGAGCTCCCTGCCCTGTGATGTTACAGAGGCCGGTAGCTTAGCTGGCTTTCGAACATATTGTTGGAGGGTGATGTGCATTCAAACCAGATTCCACAATTACACAGGTGTGCTTAAAAATATTAGTGTTATTCATCTCCCCAGACCTAGGCAGAGGGTTTTGGCTATTGTTAAGAAAGCACTCTAGGCTGGACGTGGTGGCTCACACCCATAATCTCAGCATTTTGGGAGGCTGAGGTGGGCAGATCACCCAAAGTCAGGAGTTTGAGACCAGTCTGGCCAACACGGTGAAATCCCGTCTCTACTAAAAATACAAAAATTAGCCAGGCATGGTGGCACGCATCTGTAAGCCCAGTTACTCGGGAGGCTGAGGTGGGAAAATGGCTTGAACCTGGGAGGTGGAGGTTGCAGTGAGCTGAGATTGCGCCACTGCACTCCAGCCTGGGCAAAAGAGTGAGATTCTATCTCCAAAAAAAGAAAAAAGAAAGCACTGTAACACTGACATATGCAACTTGGCAGCAAGCTAATTTGTTGGGCAAGGCAGGGATGTGGTTGTAGCCAACGTCACTTGTATTGTTTAGTACTTTACCACTCAGAAACTGCTCTCCCTCACACTTTCACATAATTTCTAGAGCACTCTGTGAAGCAGGTTATTATTATTCCCATTGCACAAATATGGAAACTGAGACTCACAGAGTTCAACTTGGCCAGTATCACACAGCTGGTACCTGGTAGAATTCCAGCTGAGATGTAGGGACTACTAATCTCTGGCCTCATTCTTCATATTAAATCAGCTGCTTATTGGAAGCATGCAGAGAGCTTGTAAAGAATGATAATGTCAGGGCGCTCTCTCACACCCCCAATAGGCTCTAATTTAATTAGGGCCAGGAAGTTGTTATTTTTTCTAGGAGCTCCTCGGAAGACTCATATATGCAGCCAATGCAGAGAATCACTGTGTTGGACAAAAATCACCCCCCACTGCCGTGTGTAATGCACAGAATACACTGTTCCATGAACTAAAGAACCTTTTTCAACAGAGGAGGATAAAGACTGGGCTTTCAGACTGGTGCTATGTGTCAGTTAAATAGGTGATTGTTTACATGGCATACTTTGACAACCAACAAGAAAAACTCCCGATCTAAAATGATCTCTCCTCTGTCCTTCGTGTGCCTTAAATAGTAAAAGGCTGAAAGTCTGGTTCAGGGTCAGGCTTTGGAAAGTCCCTCTTGGGCCAGGCATTGATCATTTCATTGCTCCCTCGTGGTCCCAGAAATCCTAACGAAGGGATTGGCTGACCTAGGTGGCTGAGGAGCCCGTGAAGATCTTGGAGCTGCAGGATTTTTGTTTTCTATGGGTTTTGAGAGTTTTGTTTTTCTCTATTTTTTGCCAATTAGTATAGAAGTATGCCTATAATTTGACTATCACTATGACTATGCTGATGTATATTGGCAGAGTATATGTTTGATCTTACATTATAGAAGTGTCTTTAACATTTTACTATTTGAAAAAAAATCATGAAAATTATGGCATAAGCAGAATTTTTCAGAAAAAGAAAATACCCAAAGAATATATGACTATATATGAATATGCATGACTATATATTCTTTGGGTATTTTCTTTTTCTGAAAAAAAAATGACTCTGACTATGCCTCTATCGCCATGTTGTTCTGATAAATGTTTAACAATCAAGGCAGGGTTGGAGGTAGGAGGCCTGATTTGTAATGTTTGCTAATGCCTGTGGTGTAAATACTCTCATCATGGCCAATTTTAAGCTACCAATGTGATGTCTTTAAACATGAAGTTGGGAAGAGGTGCCCATTAGCACATTATTATATATATAGTATTTATACTACACAGGTACAATAAATGTACAACTTCAAAATATAGATAATAGTTAAATGCTGCAAAATAATTACAAAGTAATGAGTGTTTGCCTTTTAAAATATAACTTATTTTGTAAGTTTACATAATTTAATTTTTAATGAGGGCTGTTTTTAACAACCAGGTAATAAAAATCATGAAAACTTAACAATTGATTCTCAGAAGCCAGTACAATCTGACTCCAGCACATCACTGCCCCACTGCTATCCAATCATTAATGTCACTGTTTAAGGGAAAACCTTGGAAGGCTCCTAATGAATGGATATATCATGCTTGAGAAGAACAACACAATCACTCAATAGAATCAATAAACAATTTATAGCAGGTTAATTTGTTATACTGACAATGAGTCACTTTGCAATGTCCTGGAAGAAAAAGCAAAAAGAGAAGAAATCTTATTATCCTTATAAAGAATATGGAAATAATACTGAGTCTCAATAAGGTACATACAGCTCAACGACTAATCACTAAATAAATGACAGTCGCTTTACTTTCATGAGTGGACAAGAAAATTAACATTTAATGCATATTTGATATATGTTACACACTATGTCGGCACTTACGAAGGCTGGTGTGATAGCAAGAAAAATGGCAAGTGGAATACAAGACTTACAGGAGTAAGAACTAGCTTCACCCCCATGCATTGGCTGTGAGTTAGACAAGTGCAACAGTAAGTATATGCAGCATCCAAGTGACAAGAGACAAAGGTACAGAATGGACAATGGACTTGGAATCTAGGGGAAAGTTGCCACTGTCTGGGAGATGGAGTAAGGACAGGCTTGCAGAGGGAAAATTAAAATTATATCTTGAAGTCTAAGGAGGCGTCTTTTGCACAATAGGCGGGGTGGGCCTTTTGGTTGTAAGAAAAGCTTACATAAAAGCTCAGTACAGCCCAGAAGGCATTCAAAAGATCCTTTGATGGAAACTAGGCTGTGTGATGGATAAGTGAAGTAAGTGACTTTGGAGAGAGTCTTGCCAAAGAGTTTAGACATATCCTGTTGGTCATAAAGCCTTCAAGGAGAGGAAAGAAATTTTGAAATAAACTGTAGCAGACAATCTTGGCTACCCTAAAAGCAGTATTGCAAATGCTTGCATTAAACTTGCTTAGTAGGTGGGACGAGGGAAGACCTCATTAGAAGGCAATTTTAACCGTCTAAGTAATATATGGGAAAGACCAGAATTACACCCTTACTACCTCTCAAAGAAGTAGAGAAAGGGTGGACTGGGAAAATATTTAGAGGAGAAAGTAAAAAAAAAAAATTTAAAAAGTTGATGACTGATAGATGTGAGTAGGCAGAGATAGAGAGGAATAGAAGATGATTCAGAGGTTTCTAAATTGGGTAAAGGGGTACATTGTGATATTAACTGAAACAAGGACAGCAGAAGAAGTAACAAGTTTGCAGAAATACCGTATGAAAAAGCCCAGTGTTAAACCTCTAAACTCAGCAAGTGCAAAGACCTGGATTGTTTCTGTTTCAGCTCCTACTTTGATTTGTAATCTAGTAATTTCTTTACTCCAGATCAAGAAGAGCAAATAGAACAATGAATATGAAAGTGCTTGGAGAAAAATATATGAGAACATATGCAAATAAGAACCCTCATTACCATTTATTCAAAGTAAATTTATTATGTCCTGATCCCAGGATCCTAGGAGCCTGTGCCAAAGTGTTCCTGCATCCAGCCTTCTCTCTTCCAGACCAGCAGCTGGGACAGAGAAAATAGAGGGTCAGAATTATGAGGTAGTCATCTTTCTTTTTTATCTAGAAAAGCTTTAGAAAAATATTTATGAGGACCAGACTGAAGACAACAAATCAGAATTTGCTTTCTGTGGCAGAGACAGGCTCCAGGCAGGACACAGAAGGGCAAGCAGGAAGCCAGAGAAAGGCTTCAAAATAAGGTTCCCCTCTTTTGAGTCAGGATGTAAGATGGACTCATCTGGAACACAGGTGTAGGCTGAGGGTTGAACCAAAGCACACTACCAAAAGCAAGGCAGGAAAAGCAAAGAGGAAGTAGGAACTCAGATGGAATAGACTTAGGTGATTAAACCATAAAACCACAAATAGAACACAGGCTAAGATGGCTAGTAAACTCACAGAAGTAGTAGGTAGCAAGCTGCTCTGCTGAGATCAGAGGCAGCATTCAGATGGATCAGTACCCAAAAAAGTAGCTCCCACGGCTCATGTCTCTCTTTAGCAGAGGGCTGTGGGATTCTCTGAGAAACTCAATTCAGTTCTAATGAGAACAGTCATGAGAGGGGGCCTGTTTCCAGTGGGACAGAGGCTTTCCCTTTGGTTCAGGAATTTCATTGAATATAACCAGTCACCTTTGACTGGGTGGACTCTCTGGGTCACTAAAGTCATAGCTGCTGAATTTATTTCCCAACATTGGGCCAGAAGTCCTAGCCCTGGGGTTTTTATTATCAAGACTCTGATGTTAATGAAGGTAATGACACCAGGCAGAGGTTACAGCCCTAGCATATTGCTTGTACATGCAGGAGCTCACTACAGGATTGGTGCCCTGAAAAAAATTAAAGCAAAGGTCTTTCCCAATTTCTTGGGGAGACTAGGATAAATATTATTAATATACTACCCCTAAATCAAATATATCATATTTTAATGATTGAGACGATATAATCAAATTCAACCAATTTCAAGAATTTATCGACTAAATCCAGTCTCTATAGGAACCAGCCATGCAACCCTGACCCCCAAAAAGACACTTCCCCTCCCTGGGTCTCCGGCACAGGTGTTAGTGAAATGAAGAAATAATGTCACAGCATCCCTGAGTGTCCTTCTAGTTTGTTTAAGGAATATACATAAAGCCAGCAGGATTTGAAATGAAAGCAATTATGCTTTGTGCCTTTATTCAACCTTTATTCAACACACATGGTCGTGTGTTGAAAGAGATATTAAATCTCACAGGGGAATTATAGAGATAAGAGCCAGCATTTGTGTGGCAGGGAAAGAATCCTATCTAAAAAGATACCTCCTCCTCCAACATTGGCCCATATGCAGTTCCTTGAAAGATACCTCCCGCAGCACATCTGCTGCCCCAACAGCCAGAATTCTGTGCCAGAGCCCACAGCATGAGCAGTGCAATTTCTCACTTCCCCAGAGTCTTCTCAGAAAAGAAATAGAGAACACAAGGGAAATGACCAAAGCCAAGTGAGTGGTGATTTCTCTGTCTGCCAAGTTGCTAAGACATGTCAGCTCTACTAGCTCTTGATCAGGGTGGGTGCCAACAAGTCTGAAAAAGCCTAGTACTACCAGGCAATCACGCTTCCCACTGAGTCCTGTCCTAGAGGATGAGATTGACCTTAGTGGCCTGTAACGCTGCAGACACAGGGAAAAGTTACTTGGAACAAGAAAGAAAAAAAATGTAACACTCGTACTTTATGTGTTTTCAGTTAACAATATGGCTGTGGAAGAAAAAAATAAATGAGCAAAATTTATAAAAAAAAGTATAAGTACTTTCCAGGAACTATAGAAGTACTTGGTTCTTTCCAAAGTATTGTCCAATACGGTAGCTGCTGGGCCCTTGTAACTATTTACATTTATATTAATTAAAATTAAACACAATTAAATCTTGAGTTTCTCAGTCACATGATCCACATTTCAAGTGCTCAATCGTCACACGTGACCACTGGCTACATATAGACAGCTACAGATACAGAACATCTGCATCATCGCAGAAAATTTTATGGGATAGAGCTGCTCTAAAAAGCTGAGTAGGCTGGGCGTGGTGGCTCATGCCTGTAATCCCAGCACTTTGGGAGGGCGGGGCTGGTGGATCACTTGAGGTCAGGAGTTCGAGACCAGCCTGGTCAATATGGTGAAACCCCGTCTCTACTAAAAATACAAAAATTAGTTGGGCATGGTGGTGGGCGCCTGTTAGTCCCAGCTACTCAGGAGGCCGAGGCAGAAGAATTGCTTGAATCTGGGAGGCAGAGGTTGCGGTGAGACGAGATTACACCACTGCACTTCAGCCTAGGGAGACAGAGCAAGACTCCGTCTCAAAAGATAAAAAATAAAATAAAAAGCTGAGTATATCAAAGAAAGTGGAAAACAAACCAGCATAACATCAATGAGGTTGCCTCCCATATCACTACTTGTTTAGAAGAAAATGTTAATTATTTCTATTTGTTGGCAAATCCTCTACCTGTTTCCTGTAGCTTTGGCACTTTACCTCACAGCTTCCGCTTAGCTGTTAGTCAAAGTCACAGCATTAAAACAAAAGAGTAGCACTTCCTTCAAGTTGGGAAGTGTCTGGACTCCCGCTAGTCTTTCAGAAAATACTACCCAGGCAGCTCCTCAAGCTGGGCCCTCACTTCCATCTCCTTTCTGTGAGCAAATCGAGTCATCTGCCCTCACGGCCTCTACTCCCACTGTGTAATTAACTCCCTTGGGTTTTCACTGAATGAGTGACTCAGCAAAATGACTTTTTAAATGAACGTTCACATTTAGCAATTCTGCCCACATACAAACTGGGACTGGAACTGACTTTTTAAGTAAACATACTGAGACTTTGATAACTAAATTAGTGGGTTTTGTTCCAAATAGTCACCCTAGCAGGTAACATCCTGCTTCCAATCATACAGATGTGTCTCAGATCACTGCTGGAACATTTCTTAGGGAATTGGCTTCAAGGCACATGTAAGTGTAAAGTGACAAAACGTTCTTTAATAAGGGATGTGGATGTCTTCTCGCGCTCTCCTCTTTAGAGTGTCTCTGAAAACTAAGAGGCCACAGAACTTTTGATTTTACAAAGCAGGTCACAAGCCTTCTGACCCTTGGAACTATAAATACATGCCTCCAAAATTAACACGGGAGGCATATAGGGACAATCACAAGGTGCATATTCATTTGTCTGTCAAACAGATGAGACATTTTAATTGTCTTTTTTTCTACTTTACTGTATAAATTTATGTGCGATTCTGTCCAGACTTTATAGTCACTTCCATGCTGCTGGATGTGTGTGTAAATCTGATAATGCTCACCAGGTAATAAATGGTTTCTCCCTCTTCTCTATGTTTCAGAAGGGTCTTGTGTTGGCAGAATTATATTTCCCCAACAACTGAAACACATGCATTTAAATATTTTAAACCTGTATGTTCACAGGCAAATTTGATTCTTGGAACCCCTTTCAAAAGTCACCTGGAATTTGAGTAGTGGTATGAATGATCATTTAAGATTATAGAGTTTGGGATAAAAAATGAAGCAGGTTTTTCTTTTGGTTTTTTAATATGACTCACAGGTTAATTTCCAGGAATACTTCTTTGAAGGGGATGAAAACTTGGGTTCATTTAAAAAAAAAGTCCTATTACTTTATAATTCTACCAAGTATATAATACATATAATATATTCAAAACACCTAAACAGATTTTTATACTCTCAGTAAATGATTTTTTCCCTTATTTTTATACATGTCCTTAAAATAAATGGACTTCATTAAAGATACCAGATATCCCAGCAATAATTTACAGATATTGGATTTAAAGAGCACATAGTAAAATTCAGTTGAGTCAAAAGAGTAGAAAAAGCTAATTTTGTATCATTTTCCCCATATTCTGAGGACCTATCATTGGCTGTATACAGAACGTAAAATCAAATACAATATTTTCCCAATATTCACAATCTATTTGATTAACTCCCCAGATGCAAACATAAAGAGAGGAGAAAGAAGCCTCAGGAAAGAGATTTTGACAAGACTGAACATGGCCAGCACCATCTCTTTCTGGGAACAGGCATGAAGGATTAGTTGGTGCCATCTCTCCAGCCCTCTGAGGTGGATGGCACACTGTTGAGGTGCCGGGTGATCACATGAGCTACCGGTTGGATATTACTGGAAAGGCACGTTCTCTCAGATTAATGTGTTGCTGTTGGTCCTCCTCTGATCTCCACGAAGGCGCCAGGTATATGCATCCATCTTGGCGATCTTCAGGTGGTGTGGCAGAAAAAGCACCCTATACCTTGCCAGGAGTTTGGAAACCCAGGTTCTCAAGACAGTTTCTCGATCAGTGAGTAGGATGACTTTAGCAGGGCCCAGACACTCCCTGTACCCCAGATTATGGATCTGAAAAATGAGGGGAAGTGATGATCTCTAAGATCCTTTTACTAAAGGAGCTAAGACTCAGACTTAGCTCCTTTAGGCCAGTGTCTCTTGAATTTGAAAGACCCTGAGAATCATGTAGGAGCACTGGTTTAGAAAAAGACAGATTGTTGATCTTTATCCCAAAATCTTCAGGGAAAGGGACAGGGAAACTAAATGTTTAAATGAAGACTCAGGTGAGACTGCGATAGAACAATGAAGGGTAAGGAGCCACCCGAAGTCTCCACTGTTCTACCTAGCTTTGATCTCATTTTAGAATGAAAAGTTAAAAACTCTATCTTTATTCCTATTTTTCAACTATACTCAGATATTAGCATTTTAGCAACTAAAGAGCAGGGCCATATCTCTCACTGTTATTCTTCCAGTGCATAAAGTAGTGAATCTCTAAATTTGTCCAGGGTATTTAATAGACTTCATTTTAAGTGAGAATGAACATCAAGAAGGGAGAAAGAAGCCTCAGGAAAGAGATGTTGACAAGACTAAACACGGCCAGCGCCATCTTTGCCAGCATTTGGAATTTGTTGGGCTGTTGCAAATATAAATGGTTATTTTTTTCCCAAAAGAAAGGGATGAGGAGGAAGATATGAAGGAGAGGAAATAGAAACTCAAATCTGGTTGCAAAATGACCTTTGTTACCAATGATCCCACGAATATTGTAGCAGACAGTCAAATGGATATCAATCAAGTGGATTACAGTGTTTCCCTTCCCTGACCTTTGCAATACAGGCTTACTGAGAAAGAAGGCAGGGCAGGAAGAGGCTGGACCAGGAACACCAGCCCATCTCTAGTTCACTACTTTAGGAGTGGCTAATGAATGGTGCCCATCAGGTGTTTCAGAAGGTTCTGAACAAGCAGGGCTCAAACTCAGCCAACAGCCACATCCACGAGCACTCAGACAAAGACTATAGAACAATAGAATTCCCTAGATTGTAATAATTGTAGGGTTTAAGTCTATAAGGCTTATAGCAGATTTCAAGGGCCCTTTCCAACAAATAACAAATATGTGCATATCCGCGCACGTGCACGCACACACACACACACATATTTTGGATTCTATATGTCTAGGCTGATATATGCATTGTACCCTATGAGGTTCCAAGTGGCTACTGAAAGCAGAAAAACTGAATTTTATTCTCAAATAGGAAGAAATTGAAGATGTGTCTCAATAAGAGATTTTTTCTTAAGTGAAAAATTTTCTTTTTCTTAAAGAAAATGTACAGACTTCCTAATCCTTGAAGTACACAAATAGCCTAACTTGTTTGAGAACTCCATCCCTGCAAGTAATCTCAGATTGGAACTGAGGCCTGAAATACAACCAATATCTGACCTTACTACTTCCTCGTTGCTTTCTGATAATTTGAGGAACATTTGGATACCATGCTCAGACTGACCAACAAATAAATGGCCAAGAGCCAGCTTGAGTGGCAGCAAAATCCATAAAACTGACTTGCATTAAGAAATCAGCTTGTGTTGCAGGAGGTCATCTCAGCAGAGGAATGCAGTGGTATCTGACATCTGACTGCCCTTTCATGGTTTTATGCTGGGGGGTAAAACCTGGACCCACAGTTACTGCACAGCCGTGGTAGAAGGAGGGATGTTCAGGAAGGCGTTGACAGCTGACTCAGCTGCAGCTGGGATGATACTTTTGCTGATGTGTAGAGCATTCCTATAGAAACACTTTATCCTTTTGATTAAATGTAATAAATCTTCTCTTGTTTAAGTAGTAGGTGGTTTGCTTTTGGAAAAGCTTTAAAGAGAAAAATCAACATCTGTGGTCCATGGAAAAGCAGGAAATTGGTCAAACACCAATGTATAGCCAATGCCTTCCAAGAGTGACAGTCATTAGGTGGGTGGAGGTGGCCTATGTTCTGAATAAACATCCCTCTGCAGGAGTGGAGATGGAATGGCAGGAGCATTATTGGTTCAGCAGGCCTACCTGATTCGGGAGCAGGATCTAAGCCAGGTATGAAACACATGAGATGCAAGAACTAGCCCTGGCAAATGAGACTGGTAATGGCTAGACAGCATGTTCAATCTCCAGCCAGCTTCAGTGCAGGGTAAGACTCTGGTTAAAAATACATACATATGCACACAGAAAAAGTAGAATGCCGTCATATAAACACAAAGATAGGATTAAGGACCAAACTGGAGGAACATGCAGTTGCCCAGGGAGCATACCTAGGCATAGGGCAGGCATAAGCAGCAGGTGGCACCACACATGCTGCTTTTTTCAGTGCCAGTGTTGTTGAGAGATAGCTACTGGACTTGGTTGTTAAAGGCATCAGTTCAACTGGGCATAGCTTGGGAAGAACAAATAGAAGGTCTCTTGAACACTGAGGTCTGTTGCCTACAGCAGTCACTGACAGCAACACACTGCAGCCCTACTGCAATTATTTCAAAGGCCAGATCTGATTGAACTTTATTCAAGTAGAGGTATGGCCAAGGGAGAGAGGTATGTTAACAGTCATATAAAAAACGAAGCCTTTACTTTTAACACAGTGCTCACCTTACAACATCATCAGTATCTTTTTAGCCTACATCATCAGTATCTTTACAAATGAGAAAAGATCATGAGATTTAGGCCATAGGGTTATTAAAAGTCTAAGAATCTGTTATCAGTAACTGAAGATAAGACAAGAAAACCTTAAAAAGATAATTTGGTGCCCCAAAGAATATCTATGCAGTGACAGTATTGAGAGGTTTACTGGGAGTCACTGGTATATATTCAAATACAGTTTTTTTTAACCATTATGCATAACCCCTAATGAGATATTCTATCAATTGTACCAAACATATTTATGACATATGAGAGGTATCCCACAAATGGATGATGTCAAATCGCATCTTAATATGCTAAGAGCATGTGGCTCATCCCTTTATTTCTAGCCTTTCTATATCCCCAGGCCCCTGCCACCCCTTTACATAACATTTCTGAGTCCTTGTATACCTAGTTTCAATCTGAATGCCAATACGTTCTTAAGAAATCACAGACTGGGTGTGGTAGCTCACACCTATAATCCCAGCATTTTGGGAGGCCAAATCGGGCAGATCACCTGAGGTCAGGAGTTCGAGACCAGCCTGACCAACATGAAGAAACCCTGTCTGTACTAAAAATACAAAACTTAGTCGGGCGTGGTGGCACATGCCTGTAATCCCAGCTACTTGGGAGGCTGAGGCAGGAGAATTGCTTGAACCCAAGAGGCAGAGGTTGCGGTGAGCCAAGATCACGTCATTGTACTCCAGCCTGGGCAACAAGAGTGAAACTTCATCTCAAAAAAAAAAAAAAGAAAAAGAAGAAAAGAAAAGAAAGAAAGAAAAAGAAATCACAAGGAGAGAGCTGGCTTATTGGAAATCATGTCATGATGCAGATGTCGGCCAAGTGATGTAACAGTTCAGCAACTTAGGACAAGACTGTGAGGTTTTTATTATATCACAGAACAAAGGAGAGGGGAATGTGTTAAGTCTCCAAACATTTACTAAAATTATTTACAAAACAGATCACTAAATATGATTTATGGAGAATATATTGTACTAGTCTGTTTTCAGAGTGCTATAAAGAAATGCCCAAGACTGGGTAATTTATAAAGGAAGAGGTTTAATTGACTCACAGTTCTGCATGGCTGGGGAGGCCTCAGAAAACTTATAAGCATGACCGAAGGGGAAGCAAGCTTGGACCTTCCTACATGGCAGCAGGAGAGAGAGAGAGAGCGAGTGAAAAGCCCGGGGAAACTGCCATTTATAAAACCATCATAAATCTCATGAAAACTCCCTCACTATCACAAGAATGGCATGGGGGAAACCACCCCCATGATCCAGTCACCTCCCAGCAGGTCTTTCCCTCAACACCTGGGGATGAGAATTCAAGATGAGATTTCTGTGGGGACACAAAGCTTAACAGTATCATATATAAAGAATCCTCAAAACCCAATGACAAAAAAAAGCCCAATTAAAATTGTGCAAAGGATTTGAATAGACTGTTCACCAAAGAAGATATACAAATGGCAAATAAGTACACGAAAAAATGCTCAATATCATTAGTAACTAAAGACATCCAAATTAAAACCACAATGAGACACCACCATTCCTTTATTTGAATAGCTAAACTTTCTAAAGCTTTACAGATAACACCAAATAATGGCAAAAATGTGGAGCATCAGAAATTCTCCTCCATTTCTGGTGGGAATGTAAAATAGTCCTGCCACATTGGGAAATTGAAAGTCTTTTATAAAGTTAAGCATATACTTACCATATGACCCAGTAACATCACTCCCAGGTATTTACCTAAGAATCATGAAAATTTATATTCCCACAAAAAGTATACACAAATGCTTATAGCAACTTTATTTATAATTGTCAAAAATGGAAGCAACCAAATGTCCAACAATTCATAAATAGATAAACCAGCTGGACGGGCATGGTGGCTCACGCTAGCACTTTGGGAGGCCGAGACGGGCGGATCACGAGGTCAGGAGATAGAGACCATTCTGGCTAACACGGTGAAACCCCGTCTGTACTAAAAATACAAAAAATTAGCCGGGCGTGGTGGCAGGCGCCTGTAGTCGCAGCTACTCAGGAGGCTGAGGTAGGAGAATGGCGTGAACCCGGGAGGTGGAGCTTGCAGTGAGCCGAGATCTTGCCACTGCACTCCAGCCTGGGCCACAGAGGGAGACTCCACCTCAGAAAAAAAAAAAAAAAAAGATAAACCAGCTGTGGTACAAACATACAATGGGATACTACTCATCAAAAAAAGGAGAAATAAACATTTCAAATGCATTATGTGAGCAAAATAAGCCAGTCAAAAGTCTACTTTCTATATGATTCCACTTATAAAGTCATCTAGAATATGCAAAATTATAGGAACAGAAAACAGACTCTGGTTCCCAGGGGCTGGGGAGAGCCCAAAGGGTTAACTACAAAGGAGCAAATGTGAGGGAATATTTCGAGGGGATAGAATTGCCCTTTATCTGGATTATGAAGGTAATTGTAGAACTATATGTGTTTGTCAAACACATAGAACAGTACCCCATAAAGAATTCATTTTACTGTATGTAAAAAGGAAATAAAATTTTAAAAGATTTTTAAAAAGTTATTAAAATGGTTGATAAATGTCAAAATCAATATGCAGTAGTCAACTGGAAACTTAAATCAGGCCACATTTATCCCATATCAACAGTGTTACAGTAAAATGACCAGGAACTAATTTCTTTTTTTAAGGCTCTGCCTTAAAGAATCTTTGTCCAAGTTATTGATCATCAAAACGTCCCAGAAGAGCCTCAGTCCTCTCGATGCAGTAAGAAATAGCAGGCTGTCACCAATGAGTGTTAGAGGTCCCTGTCTCAATCTGTTGGAACTGGCCCAAATTTATCTCTGATTTCCGCTAGTTGAAGACCAAAGGCATGAAATCCCTGCATTTGATGAGCTTAGGATCCTGTATTATAAATCACTTACAAATTTGAAAAATGTCATCCTTTGAATTAAAGGAATAAATAGGATTAGTCTCTGATTCTTAAGATTTATTCTTAAAGTAGCATAGCAAGAAAAGGAAGCATAAGGCTTGTAAAGGCCCAAACATTTCAACCCAAATGCACTGCCAAGAGTTATCTCTGCATATATTCAACAAGAAATACAGACAAGCAAAATAAACATCCTAGGACATATTTCATGGGGGAAAAGAGCCTAAAAGCCTGTTTCCCCAAATCTATCTTTTGAAATCTCAAAGATAATTTTTCACCTAGTTGAAATAACTCCAGCCTCCTCCACGCCCTCTAATACTCAATCTTCTTTACCTGTGAAAATCCTACCCATTCTTCAAGATGCAATTCAAAAGAAAATTACATATTGAAGCTACAATAATGTGAATTTGGAATTTGGTTTCCTGGTGTAGTTTTAGAAACGTGATAAGATCCAACTTAAATAATTCCTTTTATCATATGTGAAATCAAAAGTATTAATACATTGTTTATCCTACATCAGCGGTTCTCAAACTTTAGCATGCATCAGAATCAGGGGAGGATCTGCTAAAACAAAGATTTCTGGTGGGTCTCACCCCGCTGAGTTTCTGATTCAGTAAATCTGAAGTGAGACCTGAGAATCTGCATTTCTAACAAGCTCCCGGGAGATACTGATGCTGCTGGTCTGGGGAACAAACTTTGAGAATCCCTGCCCTACATAATGCAAGAGTGAAATAAGATAGCACATGGGCAAAGCTGTTTTATAAGGTATAAATTGCTATACTACTGTAAGGGAATCTTGTTTTTATTGTTGCATTGAATACCTTAAGAAAGCTTCTTTGTCTCTCTAACTAGTTTTTTGCAGTTTTTACTTTGAAAATCTCTGAAATATTCTGTACATCTTTTCTGACACTACTGATAGTCCACCTAGGACTGAAGTGATTTTTATTCTGTTTTTATTACTCCAACTAAACTTCACTGAGATCTTTCAAACCCGGCATTGCACAGCAGACTATTTTGCAGACAATAGGTATTCTGGGCAATAAGTTGTTGAACTGTGTTAAACATCCCTTATTATAAGAATACTGCTGGCAGGGCGTGGTGGCTCACGCCGGTAATCCTAGCACTTTGGGAGGCCAAGGTGGGCAGATCACACGGTCAGGAGATCGAGACCATCCTGGCTAACACAGTGAAACCCTGTCTCTACTAAAAATAGAAAAAATTAGCTGGGCATGGTGGCGGGCACCTGTAGTCCCAGCTACTCGGGAGGCTGAGGCAGGAGAATGGCGTGAACCTGGGAGGTGGAAGTTGCAGTGAGCAGAGATCATACCACTGCACTCCAGCCTGGGCAACAGAGCGAGACTCTGTCTCAAAAAAAAAAAGAGAATACTGCTTTACTTTCTGATGATTGTAATGAAAACACAGTTGAAACATATTACAAAACACACAATATATTATTTTCATGAATTGGGTGTCTAAGGTCGCATTGAAACTGATACAGTATAAACTATTTGATCAAATTTTAAACACCAAATAAATTCTATGCTGACATAAATGATAATTGCTAAGTATGCTGTTAATGGGCAAGCATTTTAAAAGTTGTATCAGCTTTTGATCAGTAGCATAAATTTTCCAAGTATGGCTTTGATTCCATGAGTAAATGTGTTTTCAACTTCATTGCTTCTTCCAATGAAATTGATACTAAAAGAGCTGTTGACCCTGCATCAGTGGTTCTCAAACTTTAGCATGCATCAGAATCAGTGGGAGGAACTGTTAAAACACAGGCTGCTGGTGGGTCTCACCTCCAGAGTTTCTGATTCAATAAGTTTGAAGTGAGACCTGAGAATTTGCATTTCTAACAAGGTCTATACTTAAAAGAGCGGAATTCCTGCACAATACACATAAGGTTCCTGATTGTGGTTATGAGAGGTCACACCTGCCCACTGTGAAGAAACCAGATGTGACTACTCTTAGGGAAGAACAAGTGTGGCATGACAGTAAGTGGTAAATGGCTACTAAACATTAAGGTTTTAAATCATTATTGTTCTTTGCATTTTACTAACAAAGTCTCATTTATGCAAAGCAAAAGAATTAAGTTATAATTATTGAAATAGGGGCATCAGTGACCCTATGAGATCATATGTTAAGGAATGAAGAAGACTTTCCCAACACCCTGAAATGATGCCTTTGTTGACAGTTACTTATTTTGCCCCACATAAAGTCAAATTCTGCCTGTGGGGAATAAAGCCATTGAAAAGCCAAATTCTGAAATAAACCTCTGCCCATTCATAAAATGTCACTTGTTAACATTTTTCTTTTGATGTTATAACACAAACTCTGAGAATTCAAAATCTATGCTTGACTTATCTTGGAAAGCTTAGAGACAGGTAAATTTTTGTTATCTTGGTAAAATAAACCATCCCAAAACAGTATAAAGCAACAGTAATGTTATTTATTCTGGTTGCAATTTTGGGCAGGGCTCAGCAGGGATGGCTTGTCTCTGCTCTGTGTTGTATAAACTGGTACAGCTCAGCTTCCAGGGCAGCTCACTCACATGGCTGGCAAGTTGGTCCTCGTTGCCCAGGAGCTCAATGAGGCTATTGGCCAGTGGCCTCAGTTCTCCTCCATGTGGACCTTTCTGCTTGGGCTTACCCACAGTTTGGCAGCTGGGCCCAAGAGGGAGGAGGCAGAAGTTGCTGGTCCTGCTAAAGCATCACTTCCTCTGCATTGTATTGATTAAGCAATCACAGAACTAGTCTAGATTGAAGGGTAGGAGAAATAACCCATGCCTCTCAATGGGGACAGTGACCAAAAAATGTGTGGCCGTATTCAACCTATGAGTGAAGATTTTAGCTAAGACCAGACATTAAGTTAGAGCAGAGAAAGTGAAAAATCTATCTTTAATCTTAAAACAAGATAAAGCTTGACTTCAGTGCTTCTCCAAGTATGGTTCCCAGACCAGCCACATCACCCAGAAACTAGTTAGAAATGTGGATTCTCAGGTCCCATCCTAGGCTTACTGACTGAGAAAGTCTGCTTTACATTAAGGGTGAGGATTTTTCCTTCCCAACCCTAAACTGTACTGAATCAGTTAATAAGATTAAGATGGAGTTTAGTTATAATAAACAGCTATGTTTACTTAGAAAAGAGAATAGCAAATATAGCTAAAGATCTGGATTTACTTACAGTGATACACAATGTTTACATATAATTTAATATTCTAAAAATATTTATCAGGGTTTATACATAATAGATTTATATCTCCTTGGCGGTTAATCCTCAGTAAATATGCTTTTACTTATTATGCACTCTTATTAAATTCCAATTAAATCTCTATGTAGGAACATTCATTTAAAGTGATACTAGAAGTACTGATTACAAAATCAATTACTGGCATGGAGCCATAGTGTTATTTGAAGAAAATGGTGACCTCCACTTTTTGGTACCAAAAGAAGAGGAATTAAAAGTTATGCAGTCACCAATCATAGTCTATAAACAATCTTTCCGGTTGTATCTATGGTTGTATCTGCTAAAAGACAGGAGAGATAATAAAGCTCATGACCAATTTTGAGAAAGATAATACTTAGTATAATAATAATCTGTCATTAAAGTTCATAGCAACATGTATTACTATTGATTTATCTATGTACATATATATTACACACTATATAGAGCATATCAACAGAAAGAGCCAAAAAATTTAAATAGCTGACACAATAGCCAACTAATACTTCATAGCCTTGTGCCATTTAATGGAAGACTGAGTGAAACCACCTTAGCAAAAATTATAACTGAGACAATTATTACAGTGACAGAGATCTGACCTAACCGACTACATCTTGCTTCTAACCTCCAAGCTGTCTTTGTTCATTCCTGGGCATAGGACAAACCAACTTTGGGAGGAACCTAGTTTATAGTTTAACTTTGAAATAAAGATGATAACTGCCCTTTCCCAAAACAAACCCCCTTTCTGCCCGGGGACTAGACTGCATCTGCAAGACTAACAAATTAGCTACAAGATTAGAAATTATGGTTCAAGAGTCATGCAGCTGGAGGCTGCCAGATTCTGAACCTCCCGAACTGCTCCTCAGGATAATATCACTATTGTAAAACCTAAGATCAGTGCTTCGGATATTTTGCAGATCCTGAACTTGATGGATCAGCTGGCATCACCCAGATCAATAAACTGGCTCATGTAGTTTTATGGCTCCCACCCAGGAACTGACTCACTGCAAGAGGACAGCTTCGACTCCCTGTGATTTTATCTCCAACCTGACCAATCAGCACTCCCCACTTTCTGACTGCCCTACCCAACAAATTATCCTTAAAAATCCCAATCCCTGAGTTTGTGGGGAGACCAATTTGAGTAATAATAAAACTCTAGTCTCCCATACAGCTGGTTCTGCATGAATTAAACTCTTTCTCTATTGCAATTCCCCTGTCTTGATAAATTGGCTCAGTTTAGGCAACAGGCAAGGAATATCTGTTGGGTGATTACATGAGTAGCCCTGAAACATTAATACCCCTGAGACTCCTCCTATCACAGCTCAGTCTGATTGTTAATGAATAATGAATATAGGAAAATTTGGGCCCACAGCTAGACCAAGAAAAGATCCATTTATGTTTAGTTCCCTCCTTCCAAGAGAAACTGGAGAGTTCAATGCATTTTAGAATTTTTTTAATTCAAAACAATTAATTTTTTTTTGAGACAAGATCTTGCTCTGTTGCCCATATGGGAATGGCATGATCACAGCTCACTGCAGCCTCAACCTCCTGGGCTTAGATGGTCCTCCTGCCTCAATCCCCCAAGTAGCTAGGACTACAGGCATGCACCACCATGCCCAGCTAATTTTTGTATTTTTTAGTAGAGATGGGGTTTTGCCATGCTGCTCAGGCTGATCTCAAACTGCTGGGCTCATGCCATCCACCCACCTTGGCCTCCCAAAATGCTGGGATTACAGGCATGAGCCATCGCACCTGGCAAGAAGATTGATTTTTTTTTTTAAGTTGGTTCTTAGACAAGTAATTAATCCCCTGGATATACTGCCTCTTTTCCTAGTGTCTGGTTAGCTTATACATCATCGTGATCTTTTTAAAGAAAAATTTTCTAAGTCTCTTTATAGATTCCCTTAGGAAACTGAATGGACCTCTCCCTTCAGTGGGTGTTAATACTCAGTTCAGTAAATAGCAGAATTCTGAAATCTCAGCCAGGGCCTCCCTTCCAGGAAGTATGGCAAAGAGCCCTCAAAAGCTTGGCTTGCTCAAAACGTTAGTGAAGGCTAAAGACAGATATTCAAATAAAATGAGGCCTAAAAGGAGATGCCACCAGAAACAGCACCTCTGATTACCCAAGTAGAAGCCACTACTACCCCCAAGTTTTCAAGGGGCTGATTTGAGTCATAAGGAAACTTTGGTATGAACTCTCCCTACTTCTTTCTCCACATTTGCCAAGAAATTTTTCTGCATTAGTTTCAACTTTTAATCCTCTCTCTTCTCTTGGAGGAGGACAAGTTTCTTGGCTCACGATGCTTCTGTGATGTGAATTCCTTTCCTATCGACTCTTAAAACCTTATTCCACAGATCATTTTTATGCTAATACACATCCCCTGTAATATGAGTCATCCCTTACACAGCAGGTACAAGCAGCCTAAATTTCCAATTTATAAGAGTAACCCCAAGAGAGGAAAAGAACTAGGCAGTGAGTGGGAAAAGAGGATTTGGGGAATTCTGGGAGAGGCCAGGGCAGCAAAGAACCTAGAGTCAGCTAGGAGGATGAAAAGAGATTAAGGGACCTGGAAACATATTTGCACTTAGCACAGGGGCAGCAGCAAAGGGCCTGAAGACTATGAGACCTCAAGTTCCAGTTCTGCAGCTTACACCTGTTCCCCAACCTCTCTAAACCTCGGCTTTTTCTGCTGGAAAATAGAGCTAATAGTACCTCCCTTGCTGATATTGTAAAGATTGCATGGGATTTGTATGCAAATTACCTTAAAGAGTGCCCTATGAATAGATGTATACCCTTTATATGTATCACTGTATTTCCCTGTATGTAGAAAGGACCAAGAATACCACCGAAAGCAAACGCCTGCTCCTCCTCATGTAGCACTTGAACAATAGACAATATGTAAATCAGCCTGACACCACCCACCTCCTTCCCTCCTATTGCTAAACATTTGGAGGCTTATGGGACACTGGTATAAGTCATCAATTCCACATTGGAAAAGGTAAAGGATACTCCCTTCAGTTGTTTCTCTCTTTATCTTCATTTCAGGTTGTCTGCATTAAATTAAATCTGAAAGGTAGAGTATACTGAACTACAAATTAGGAATTCTATGAGGAGTGGAGGTGCAGATTTACCATTCTGCCTTTCCCATTTGAGGCTATCTCCTTCAGCCCTCCTGTCTGCTCTCAAACCCCACTGACATATGTTTTTTTGAGTACAATACAGTGTAGGAAACCTTAATGCAACATAATTCTTAACTAGCAAGCTGCCTCAGTGAGCATTATTATAGTGTATAAACCAAACATGCATCTTTCCCAGGTGAGGAGACTGAGGTAAGAAAGGAGGCAGAGAAAAGCAATGCAGAATAAAGCAAGTAACTTGAAACTTCATTTTTGTGAGCTGGGGGTCACTATATGGGCCTCGTTTGCATACTTGCCTGGGGGAACCCCCATGTGCTGGAGGCAAGCCTTGGGGCCTCATTTGCATAATCCCTCTGAACTTCTGAGGCAGGCCTATGAAATGGACTTGGGGGTTTAGTGACATTCACTATGTTCAAACAAAAATTCCTCTTGGAAAGAGGTACTAGTTCCTGAACCACTGAAACCCACAGAGAAGACAGCATTGTCAGGGGAACTCCCCTAAGCCAGCAACAGGCAGTGATGCAGTGGCTCTCAGGAGGGACAAGGACTTTGTGGAGCTATGACGCTGAGTCCTGCTGATGGGATTCCTCTTCTGCTTCTTAGGGAATGGAAGGATTTCCCTTGAAAGAAAGCAGATTTTTTTGCAGTTAAGACTCCAGATGCACAAAATGACCTGGAGACACCTGGGGTTAGAGAGGTCACAACAGCCTTGGAATAAGGAGTAGGAGGCCTGGCTGGTGGCAGAGAGTCTCCCTTCTGGGCAAGGACACAGAAGCAAGAATGGCCAAGAGCAGCTTTGTCCAAAGTGCATTCCTAATGGCTGACCCCTTGTTACTATCCCACAGGGGCATCTCCAGCTCAGCTGTCTCAAACCAGCAGCATGGACTTCACTAGGAGCTGGTTAGAAATGCAAAGTCCCTGGCCCTGTCCAGACTTATAAATCAGACACTCTAGGGGGTGAGAGGCAGTAATCTGTGCTTTAACAGGCCTTCCAAATGATTTGATGCCCTAACTAGTTCTCTCTTTGGGGAGGGGAGTTGCTAGATTGACTTCACTGTTTTTCTGATGATGGTTGCCTGCAGGGAGCTCCTCCTCACTGCCCAACACGTGGCCCTTTGAAGCTTGCCAAAAGCCTGTGGAACCTGCTTATCCCCTCTCTGTTCCAGATACTACTCTACCCGCCCCTCCCACAATGAGGAGTGGAATTGTTCATTACCAAAGTGTTCAGAAGATGTGCCAACCTGTCCAGACACAGTCCCCTGCATGACTTGAGACTCTTTCCCTTCCTCTCTTCCTCCTGGAGTCCTCTCCCTTTTGGGATGATTGGACCCACTCCCCTACCTGCTTCTCTAAAATGTATCAAGTCATCTTGCAAACTGTGATTCCAGGCATCTTAGGAGTATCCCTCAGCCTCAAGCACTTACTAAATATCCACAGCTTTCCTCTTCCACCCAATTTTCTGGGCGAGCTCTGGTCCCCGCATTTGCTGGCTTCATGGGGCAAACGGGAATGAGACAACCCTGTCTAGTTCATGGAGATCAAGACAATGGATTAGATGAGGCATAAGTTGGGGCTCTTCATCTGAATTATAACTGATGTTTTGTTAAAGTTTCTATGACCGGTTTCATCTCAGTACCCAGAGATTCATGGAAAAGGAAATTAAGTGTCATGGTGTGACTTACTTCGCAGGCAGTAAGGGAATTTACCAGAACAGTTGTAGGTAAAGAAAGGCAATTTATTCGAGAAAGTACAAAGATCTGTTGCAAGGGTGCAATGGGTAGCACAGAAGAGAAAGGGCTGTCTGCAAAGAAGTGAGTGTGAGGTTCTTGTACCAGTTCGAACCCCGAGAGCGCGCCAACAGACAACAGGAGGTGCTATGGAGCAACGTGCTGTTTTAATGAGTGCCTGGGTGCAGGTGGGCTGAGGCCTAAAATGGCATCAGCCCCCAGTGAGGACAAGACAAAGGTTTTATAGTCTCCTGTAAACAGGAAGTGTCCTAGTCTGACCTAACTGCTATGTTGTACCCAAATGGCCTTTTTCTTGATCTTCAGGGGTACGTGTTTCCTGGCCGGCTGTCTTCCTGCTTCTACTATCTTGCTGGTGCACGCTGCTGACACAAGTGGCCTTGCACCCTGGGACTGGGCCTGAGAAGGGAGGAGTTATTCATCTCTTTAAGCTTTCAGGCCCCTGGGAGAATCTTACATTCCTGTCTATTTGGTTATAGAAAAGGGAAAAGGGAGAACTTTCTCAATAACTACTTCAGGCGTGACATAGAGGTGATCTGGGCACCTTGGAAAAAGAAAAACTTAATTTTTGGTGTATTCTTGAGAGACGGGTTGGTATCCATCATGTCATTGTAGCAGGAGCATCGTTTGGATTGTCTGGTGGTTAACTGTAGTTTTAACAAGAGTTTTAATGGCTTTTATTATCAGTGGGATAACACAGGGGAGAAACAGGAGAACCCCAGTGATGAAGATTACTGTCCCTACCAGGGTTTTAAATCCTCCTAAATTAGAGAGCCATCCTCCTAGAAGGTTTGTTGGGTCCCATCCCTTTTAGGTTTGGACTGTACATGGGCTACTTTTCTGATGTTTGAAGCAATTTTTAGAACTGCTTTTCCGTTATTGTCTATGTTAAGACAGCAATTAGAGATATTAAGTTTACCACAGACTCCACCCCCTTCTGCTAATAAGTAGTCTAGTGCTAGCCTGTTTTGATAAATTGCTGAGCGCATTTGGTTTTGTTGTTGCAAGAGCATTTCCAGGGCTGAGGCGATTTGGTTAGTGATTATCCCTAGAACTGCCTGTAGTCTAATTATTCTATTTAGCATATATAGGCGTGCGATAACCCCATAAACCATCCTCAGCCCAAGTGGCAGGACCGTAATATTCGATGATCCATTGCGGAGGCCATTCATCCCCTTGCCATCTTTGGCTTCCTCTTAGCTTTAAGGATGGTTTTTCTTTGTTTAGGTTATTACATACAGGGACTCTGAGGGTGTTGCCCACTGTTAGTGTTTTGGAGGAAGGAGTAGTCTTGGGGGTGAGCTTGACCCTGGTGTGATGGACCCAGTGGGGGAGTCCTTGGATTTTCACTGCAGTTGGCATGCTGAATATCACAGTGGAGGGGCCTGTCCACATTGGTTGTAGCTTTTGGGTGAGGGTTGGGTTGGCAGATAAACACGTCTGTGCCTGCAAGGCAGTTATGTTGAGAGGACAAGGAGGTGTTAACAGGGAGAGGCATGGCCTTATCTGCTGCTTCACGAATGAAAGACCATGTCTGGATTAAGGAGGGGCGGTAATTCTTGAGTGGTTTAGAATCTGGTAAAGATGGAGGTCCTAAGACAAAAGTTCAGTCGTACATGATTTTAAAGGGACTATAAAAAGAGGGTGCTTTTGGTGTTGTGCGGAGTCTCATGAGGGCAAAAGGGAGATTTTTTTGTCCACAACTGGCAGATTTTTAAAGCCACCTTGGTGAGTTGGGCTTTAAGGACAGAGTTAATTTTTTTAACTTTGCCTGAAGATTGAGGCTTGTAGGGTGTGTGGAGAACCCATTTTATACCTGAGGATGTAGAGACATCTTGGGTAATTTGGCTGATGAAGACAGGCCCATTATTGGACTGGATGGATGTTGGGAGTCTGAAACAGGGAATTATATGCACGATGAGAGTTTGTGTGATGACATTTGCACCTTCTGAAGTTCTTGGGAACGCTTCTACCTACCCGGAGAAAGTACAGACCAAGACTAGAAGACAGCGGAGCCGTTTATCAGGTGGCATGTGAGTGAAGTCTACTTGCCAATCTTGCAGGGGTACCTGGCCCCGGGCTTGGTGGGTAGGAAAAGGCAGCAGCCAGAGGGAGCCCTGGGATGACACTAAGTAGCAGAGAGCAGGACTGAGTAATCCCTTGAACACAGCTGGAAAGATGAGGACAAGTGAGGATAGGGCAGAGAAGTTGCAGGAGAGGTTTGTAACCGACATGGAAAGAGTTGTAGAGGCTTTGGAGGTGAGGAAGGCTTTGAGAGTGAGGAATAATGAGGCGCCCTTCCTTGACATACCATGGTCCTTGCTTTTGAAGGTTTTGGGCTCAGAAGTCCACCTTTTCTTCTGAGGAGTAAAGAGGAGAGAAGGCGGACAGGGACAGAAACTGGCCTTGCACAGGTTGTAGGGCTACTTTTCTGGCTACATGATCTACTAGCACATTTCCAGCTGACATAGGATTGTCTGGGGTTTGGTGGCCCCTGCAATGAATGATGGCAGCTTTCTGTGGGAGCCTGGCAGCTTGAAGGAGTTTGCTGATGAGAGAGCCATTTATGACAGGAGGGTTCTTTGCAGTTAGGAAACCCCGTTCTTTC
Source organism: Homo sapiens (assembly GCF_000001405.40). Taxonomy (NCBI): domain Eukaryota; kingdom Metazoa; phylum Chordata; class Mammalia; order Primates; family Hominidae; genus Homo; species Homo sapiens. The sequence goes on from NW_003315959.1 coordinate 113,996, forward strand.
CAGATGGACAAGTGTGAGTGCACTAGGTGGAACATAATGAGAATTTGAATATATGTTGATCTGTTGTCTGGCTGCTTGAGTGAGAGCTTAAGTGAGGGTGATGAGTTCAGCTTTTTGGGAGGTGGTGCCTAGGGGGAGCAGATTGGCTGCAATAATGTGGGGGGGGGTGACATTATAGCATAGCCAGCATGCCCTCATCCTTGATGTAGGAAGGAGCTGCCATCTACAATCCAAGTAAAGGAGGCATCTGGAAGGGGTTGGTCTGTCAGGTTTGGAAAAGGTATAAGAAAGGTTTGAACAGTGTTTACATAGAAGTGTGTAGGGTCTTGGGTGGTTGTAGCTTCAGGTAAGAGCATGGCTGGGTTTAGACAGGAGCTGGTTAGCATGGTGATGTGGGGAGCTTCTATGAATAGAGTATACAGTTGGGGGAGCCATGGGGCAGAGATGAGTCTTAGTACACTGCTGTGAGCTAGCATGTCTTTGGTGTTAACAGTTGAATGAACTATTAGGTTGTCATGGAGAGATTGTTTTAGGCTTTCATGGGTGAGGACAGCAGCTGCCGCCAATGCTCAGAGGCACACAGGCCATCTGAGAACTGTGGCTTTAAGCTGTTTAGAGAGGTAGGCAATAACCTGGAGGGTGGGTCCCTTAGATTGGGTTAGAACACTCAGTGCAACTCCACGCCATCCATCAGCGTAGAGGGAAAAAGGTTTGGTGAGGTCTGGAAGAGTGCGGACAGGGATTGAGGTGAGAGCCTTCTGGAGTAGACAGAAAGGTTGGGTAATAGGCTGTGCAGGGTTTGAAGGCTCATGGTGAGGGCCTTTAGTGGCTTGGCATAACGGTTTGGCAAGTAGAGCAAAGGAGGAAACCCAGAGTCTAAAATATCCCACTAATCTTAGGAAAGAGAATTTCTTGGGGGGACGGTTCCAAGATGGCCGAATAGGAACGGCTCCAGTCTACAGCTCCCGTCATGAGCAACGCAGAAGATGGGTGATTTCTGCATTTCCAACTGAGGTACTAGGTTCATCTCACTGGGGCTTATCAGACAGTGGGTGCAGGACAGAGGGTGCAGCCCATCGAGCATGAGCCAAAGCAGGGTGAGGCATCGCCTCACCCAGGAAGTGCAAGGGGTCAGGGAATTCCCTTTCCTAGCCAAGGGAAGCTGTGACAGACGGCTCCTGGAAAATCAGGTCACTCCCACCCAAATACTGTGCTTTTCCAATGGTCTTAGCAAACGGCACACCAGGAGATTATATCCTGTGCCTGGCTCAGAAGGTCCCACTCCCACAGGCACAGCAGACTGAGATGGAACTGCAAGGTGGCAGCGAGGCTGGGGGAGGGGTGCCCACCATTGCTGAGGAGTGAGTAGGTAAACAAAGTGGCTGGGAAGCTTGAACTGGGTGGAGCCCACCGCAGCTCAAGGAGGCCTGCCTGCCTCTGTGGACTCCACCTCTGGGGACAGGGCATAGCCAAATAAAAGGCAGCAGAAACCTCTGCAGACTTAAATGTCCGTGTCTGACAGCTTTGAAGAGAGTAGTGGTTCCCCCAGCATGGAGTTTGAGATCTGAGAACGGACAGAGTGCATCCTCAAGTGGGTCCCTGACCCCCAATTAGCCTAACTGGGAGACACTCCCCCCAAGTAGGGGCAGACTGACACCTCACATGGCTGGGAACCCCTCTGAGACAAAGCTTACAGAGGAACGATCAGGCAGCAATATTTGCTGTTCTGCAGCCTCCGCTGCTGATACCCAGGCAAATAGGGTCTGGAGTGGACCTCCAGCAAACTCCAACAGACCTGCAGCTGAGGGTCCTGAATGTTAGAAGGAAAACTAACAAACAGAAAGAACATCCACACCAAAACCCCATCTGTATGTCACCATCATCAAAGACCAAAGGTAGATAAAACCACAAAGATGGGGAAAAAACAGAGCAGAAAAGCTGAAAATTCTAAAAATCAGAGCACCTCTCTGCCTCCAAAGGAATGCAGCTCCTCACCAGCAATGGAACAAAGCTGGACAGAGTTTGACTTTGATGAGTTGAGAGAAGGCTTCAGATGAGCAAACTTCTCCAAGCTAAAGGAGGAAGTTCAAACATATTGCAAAGAAGGTAAAAACCTTGAAAAAAGATTAGACGAATGGCTAACTAGAATCACCAGTGTAGAGAAGTCCTTAAATGACCTGATGGAGCTGAAAACCATGGCATGAGAACTACATGACGAATGCACAAGCTTCAGTATCCGATTTGATCAACTGGAAGAAAGGATATCAGTGATTGAAGATCAAATGAATGAAATGAAGCGAGAAGAGAAGTTTAGAGAAAAAAGAGTAAAAAGAAATGAACAAAGCCTCCAAGAAATATGGGACTATGTGAAAAGACCAAATCTACATCTGATTGGTGTACCTGAAAGTGACGGGGAGAATGGAACCAAGTTGGAAGACACTCTGCAGGATATTATCCAGGAGAACTTCCCCAAACTAGCAAGGCAGGCCAACATTCAAATTCAGGAAATACAGAGAACGCCACAGAGATACTCCTCAAGAAGAGCAACTCCAAGACACATAATTATCAGATTCTCCATAGTGGAAATGAAGGAAAAAATGTTAAGGGCAGCCAGAGAGAAAGGTCGGGTTACCCACAAAGGGAAGCCCATCAGACTAATAGTAGATCTCTTGGCAGAAACTCTACAAGCCAGAAGAGAGTGGGGACCAATATTTAACATTCTTGAAGAAAAGAATTTTTGACCCAGAATTTCATATCCAGCCAAACTAAGCTTCATAAGTGAAGAAGAAATAAAATCCTTTACAGACAAGCAAATGCTGAGAGATTTTGTCACCACCAGGCCTGCCCTACAAGAGCTCCTGAAGGAAGCACTAAACATGGAAAGGAACAACCAGTACCAGCCACTGCAAAAATATGCCACATTGTAAAGACCATCGAGGCTAGGAAAAAACTGCATCAGCTAACGAGCAAAATAACCAGCTAACATCATAATGACAGGATCAAATTTACACATAACAATATTAACCTTAAATGTAAATGGGCTAAATGCTCCAATTAAAAGACACAGACTGGCAAATTGGATAAAGAGTCAAGACCCATCAGTGTGCTGTATTCAGGAAACCCATCTCATGTGCAGAGACACACATAGGCTCAAAATAAAGGGATGGAGGAAGATCTACCAAGCAACTGGAAAACAAGAAAAGGCAGGGGTTGCAATCCTAGTCTCTGATAAAACAGACTTTAAACCAACAAAGATCAAAAGAGAAAAAGAAGACCATTATATAATGGAAAAGGGATCAATTCAACAAGAGGAGCTAACTATCCTAAATATATATGCACCCAATACAGGAGCACCCAGATTCATAAAGCAAGTCCTTAGAGACTTACAAAAAGACTTAGACTCCCATACAATAATAATGGGAGACTTTAACACCCCACTGTCAACATTAGACAGATCAACGAGACAGAAAGTTAACAAGGATATACAGGAATTGAACTCAGCTCTGCACCAAGCGGACCTAATAGACATCTACCGAACTCTCCACCCCAAATCAACAGGATATACATTCTTCTCAGCACCACATCGCACTTATTCCAAAATTGACCACATAGTTGGAAGTAAAGCACTCCTCAGCAAATGTAGAAGAACAGAAATTGTAACAAACTGTCTCTCAGACCACAGTGCAATCAAACTAGAACTCAGGATAAAGAAACTCACTCAAAACCTCTCAACTACCTGGAAACTGAACAACCTGCTCCTGAATGACTACTGGGTACATAATGAAAGGAAGGCAGAAATAAAGATGTTCTTTGAAACCAATGAGAACAAAGACACAACATACCAGAATCTCTGAGACACATTTAAAGCAGTGTTTAGAGGGAAATTTATAGCACTAAATGCCCACAAGAGAAAGCAGGAAAGATCTAAAACTGACACCCTAACATCACAATTAAAAGAACTAGAAAAGCAAGAGCAAACACATTCAAAAGCTAGCAGAAGGCAAGAAATAACTAAGATCAGAGCAGAACTGAAGGAGATAGAGACACAAAAAACTCTTCAAAAAAAATCAATGAATCCAGGAGCTGTTTTTTTTTTTGAGAAGATCAACAAAATTGATATACTGCTAGCAAGACTAATAAAGAAGAAAAGAGAGAAGAATCAAATAGATGCAATAAAAAATGATAAAGGGGATATCACCACCAATCCCACAGAAATACAAACTACCATCAGAGAATACTATAAACACCTCTACGCAAATAAACTAGAAAATCTAGAAGAAATGGATAAATTCATCGACACATACACCCTCCCAAGACTAAACTAGGAAGAAGTTGAATCCCTGAATAGACCAATAACAGGCTCTGAAATTGAGGCAATAATTAATAGCCTACCAACCAAAAAAAGTCCAGGACCAGATGGATTCACAGCCGAATTCTACCAGAGGTACAAGGAGGAACTGGTACCATTCCTTCTGAAACTATTCCAATCAATATAAAAAAAGGGAAGCCTCCCTAACTCATTTTATGAGGCTAGCATCATCCTGATACCAAAGCCTGGCAGAGACACAACAAAAAAAGAGAATTTTAGACAAATATCCCTGATGAATAGCGATGCAAAAGTCCTCAATAAAATACTGGCACACCGAATCCAGCAGCACATCAAAAAGCTTATCCACCATGATCAAATGGGCTTCATCCCTTGGATGCAAGGCTGGTTCAACATACGAAAATCAATAAACGTAATCCAGCATATAAACAGAACCAAAGACAAAAACCACTTGGTTATCTCAATAGATGCAGAAAAGGCCTTTGACAAAATTCAACAGCCCTTCATGCTAAAAAGTCTCAATAAATTAGGTATTGATGGGACATATCTCAAAATAATAAGAGCTATTTATGACAAACCCACAGCCAATATCATACTGAATGGGCAAAAATTGGAAGCATTCCCTTTGAAAACTGGTACAAGACAGGGATGCCCTCTCTCACCACTCCTATTCAACATAGTGTTGGAAGTTCTGGCCAGGGCAATCAGGAAGGAGAAAGAAATAAAAGGTATTCAATTAGGAAAAGAGGAAGTCAAATTGTCCCTGTTTGCAGATGATATGATTGTATATCTAGAAAACCCCATTGTCTCAGCCCAAAATCTCCTTAAGCTGATAAGCAACTTCAGCAAAGTCTCAGGATACAAAATCAATGTGCAAAAATCACGAGCATTCTTATACACCAACAACAGACAAACAGAGAGCCAAATCATGAGTGAACTCCCATTCACAATTGCTTCAAAAAGAATAAAATACCTAGGAATACAACTTACAAGGGATGTGAAGGACCTCTTAAGGAGAAATACAAACCACTGCTCAACGAAATAAAAGAGGACACAAACAAATGGAAGAACATTCCATGCTCATGGATAGGAAGAATCAATATCTTGAAAATGGCCATACTGCCCAAGGTAATTTATAGATTCAATGTCATCCCATCAAGCTACCAATGACTTTCTTCACAGAATTGGAAAAAACTACTTTAAAGTTCATATGGAAACAAAAAAGAGCCTGCATTGCCAAGTCAATCCTAAGCCAAAAGAACAAAGCTGGAGGCATCACACTACCTGACTTCAAATTATACTACAAGGATACAGTAACCAAAACAGCATGGTACTGCTACTGAAACAGAGATATAGACCAATGGAACAGAACAGAGCCCTCAGAAATAATACCACACATCTACAACCATCTGATCTTTGACAAACCTGACAAAAACAAGAAATGGGGAAAGGATTTCCTATTTAATACATGGTGCTGGGAAAACTGGCTAGCCATATGTAGAAAGCTGAAACTGGATCCCTTCCTTATGCCTTATACAAAAATTAATTCAAGATGGATTAAAGATTTAAATGTTAGACCTAAAACCATCAAAACCCTAGAAGAAAACCTAGGCAATACCATTCAGGACATAGGCATGGGCAAGGACTTCATATCTAAAACACCAAAGGCAATGGCAACAAAAGCCAGAATTGACAAATGGGATCTAATTAAACTAAAGAGCTTCTGCACAGCAAAAGAAACTACCATCAGAGTGAAAAGGCAACCTACAGAATGGGAGAAAATTTTTGCAACCTACTCATCTGACAAAGGGCTAATATCCAGAATCTATAAAGAACTCAAACAAATTTACAAGAAAAAAAAAAACATCAAAAAGTGGGCGAAGCATATGAACAGACACTTCTCAAAAGACGACATTTATGCAGCCAACAGACACATGAAAAAATGCTCATCATCACTGGCCATCAGAGAAATGCAAATCAAAACCACAATGAGATACCATCTCACACCAGTTAAAATGTCGATCATTAAAAAGTCAGGAAACAATGGGTGCTGGAGAGGATGTGGAAAAATAGGAACACTTTTACAGTGTTGGTGGGACTGTAAACTAGTTCAAACATTGTGGAAGTCAGTGTGGCGATTTTTCAAGGGTCTAGAACTAGAAATACCATTTGACCCAGCCATCCCATTACTGGGTATATACCCAAAGGATTATAAATCATGCTACTGTAAAGACACGTGCACACGTATGCTTATTGTGGCACTATTCACAATAGCAAACACTTGGAACCAACCCAAATGTTCATCAGTGATAGACTGGATTAAGAAAATGTGGCACAGCTGGGCGCAGTGGCTCACGCCTGTAATCCCAGCATTTTGGGAGGCCAAGGCAGGTGGATCAGAAGGTCAGGAGATCGAGACCATCCTGGCTAACATGGTGAAACCCCGTCTCTACTAAAAATACAAAAAAAAATAGCTGGGTGTGATGGTGGGCACCTGTAGTCCCAGCTAATCAGGAGGCTGAGACAGGAGAATGGCGGGAACCCAGGAGATGGAGCTTGCAGTAAGCCGAGATCGTGCCACTGCACTCCACTCCACCCTGGGCAACAGAGCAAGATTCAATCTCAGAAAAAAAAAAAAAAAAGAAAGAAAGAAAATGTGGCACATATACACCATGGAATACTACGCAGCCATAAAACAGGATGAGTTCATGTCCTTTGCAGGGACATGGATGAAGCTGGAAACCATCATTCTCAGGAAACTATTGCAAGGACAAAAAACCAAACACCGTATGTTCCCATTCATAGGTGGGAATTGAACAATGAGAACACATGCACACAGGAAGGGGAACATCACACACCGGGGCCTGTTGTGGGATGGGGGGACAGGGGAGGGATAGCATTAGAAGATATACCTAATGTAAATGACGACTTAATGGGTGCAGCACACCAACATGGCACATGTATACATATGAGACAAACCTGCACATTGTGCACTTGTACCCTAGAACTTAAAGTATAATAATAAAAAAAAAAAGAAAATTCTTCCAGCAAAAGATATTAACAGGAATTGGGCTTCAGAGAACCCAGTACATGAAGATGTGCAAAATGCCTTGTATAGCCTTTTTTAGTTTGCCTTTATTGCTGTATTGTAAATAGATATTAAAATTGATATTTATGAGTGTCTTCAGATTGAGTTACAGCTCTTGTTTCCCAGCCCTCCCTTTCTCAAGTCTTCCATGCCTCCATTGCAAATTTTCCAGCACAGATATTTTCAGAAGCCGGATTCCTGTATTGGGGAAGTTTTTCTGCACTTTAATCAGTGATTTGTACCTACACAAGGGGAGAGGTTGTAACTCGGGGAGCTAATGTAAAGAGAAGCTGTACCATTTAACATATGTATATGAATTTGTCATTTTTACTTTAAAAAAAAAAAGAGAATTTCTTGCTTAGTTTGTGGAGGTGGGAGGGACTGGAGGAGGGATATGTGGTCGGTTGTAAGCCCTTGGGTTCGCAGGGTAAGGGCTAGGCCTAGATAGGTGACTGAGGGGGTGCATGTTTTTGCTTTCTTAGGGGAGACCTAGTACTCCCGTTCTGCCAAGGAGTTTAAAAGAGAGATAGTATGGGCATTGCAGTTTCTTTGAGAGGGGCTACACAGGAGCTGATTATTAACACATTGAAGGAGAGTGGACGGTTTTAGGGATAAGGTACATAGGTCACGAGCAAGGACCTGTCCAAAAAGGTGGAGACTGTCTCTGAAACCTTGAGGTAGTACGCACCAGGTGAGCTGACGTGAAAGGTGGGTGTCGGGGTTTTCCCATGTAAAGGAAAAGAGGTCTGGAGAATCAGGGTGCAAAGGAATTGTGAAAAAAGCTTTCTTTAGGTTTAGGACAGAAAAATGGGTGGCATTGGAGGGAATTGCAGAAAGTAAAGCATATGGGTTAGGAACTACTAGACACACTGGGAGTATAGCTTGGTTGACGAGCCTAGGTCCTGTACTAAGCGATAAATTCCATCTGGCTTTTTAACAGGTAGAACTGGTGTGTTAAAAGGGAGTTTGTTGGGCAGTGTAGGTGACTGGCAAGGAGGCGAAAAATGATAGGCTTTAGGCCTATGAGAGCTGCTTGGGAGATGGGATACTGCTTCTGTGATAGGAACTGGGTGGGCTTTTTAAGGATAATGCAGATGGGGGTGTGGTGTTCTGCGACTGAGGGTGTGGAAGTATCCTAAACAGCAGGGTTAACTACAGATGGGGGATAAGGAAAAGTTGCATGTTTTAGAGTGGGAGGGTGAAGGAGTAGAAGAAAGCTAGAAGTACTGGAGGGGTCTGGGTAATGTGTTGGGTACTATGGGGAATGTGGAAGTGGAGAGTAGTGTGGAGTTTTGAAAGGATATCTCTGCCTAGGAGCAGGGTTGGGCATGAGGGCAGGACTAAGAAAGAGTGAGTGAAGGAAAAAGGGTGCAGGAAGCAGAAAAGTTGAGGGGTGGCTCGGGGTTTGGAGACTTATCCATGAATTCCCACAACAGAGACTTGGGAGGATTGGGTGGGTTCTGAAAAATTAGATAAAGCAGAGTAGGTTGCCCCGATATTAATTTTAAAAGAACATACTGGCCTACCTTCTACCATCAGAGTTACCCTTGGCTTGGATGAAGAGATGGTAATTGCTGGGGCATCCATTCCAGGGCACCATCAGTCTTCAGCAGTAAGGCTGATGAGATCCAAGTAGGAGGTTTTGGCCAGCTTAGGAAGGGTCGGGGGCGGTCCTTGCGGGGGCTGCTCACAGTCCAACTTCCAGTGGAGTCCTCCATAGAGGGGGCACAGCCTGGTGGGCTTACCTGGATTTGGGCATTGTCTGGACCAGTGGCCTTCATTGCAGCACTTGAAACAGGCGCCAGGTGGAGATGGATTGTTAGGAGGCTTCCGTGTGGAGCTGCGGCCCCGTGGGCCTGCAGGGCCCCTGATGGCAGAGGCAAGCATTTGAAACTCTGCCTGTTTTTGCCTTCTACTTTCCTAGTCACAATTGTTAAAGACTTTGAAGGCTAAATTAGGAAGGTCTCATTGTAGGGTTTCAGGGCTGTCATCAAGCTTCCGAAGCTTGCACTGAATATTGAGGGTGGATTGAGAGATGAACCAAAGGTTTAAAATAGTGGTTTCTGCTGAGGATTTGAAGGGGGAAAAGGGGTTGAGTTACCAGGCAGTGGAGGATAGATAGGGGTGTAAGGTGGCGGGATGGGTTTACAGTCTTCAGGAGAGGGCGGTGAGGAAGGAGAATGGGTACAGGCAATACTAGAATTGTCCTGAGGAGGGGAAGGTGTAGGAAAAGAAGTGGATACAGCTGACTGGGAAGATAGTGGCTAAGAAGATGGCAGCTGGGAAAATGGTGGCTGGGAAGGTGGTGGCTGAGAAGATGGCATCTGGGAAGATGGCGGCTGAGAAGGCAACGAGGAGGCTTGGGGAGTTAAAGAAGATCTTGAGAGGAAGAGGTAGGGGCTGAGAGGGGTGGACAGCAGCCAGCTGAATCAAATGAGGAAAAAGAGGCAGGGTCAGGAGGAGAAAGGCAATCAAGGTGGTGAGAATGGGGGAGAAGGATTTGAACAGGTGAGCAAGAACTGCAGAGGTCGCATTGTGATCTGATTGCAAAAAGGCCTGGACAGAAGGAATTTCTCGCCATTTCTCCAGTTGTGGGCAATAATTGCTTAAATCAGTTAAAATTGTAAAGTCGATTGTTCCATTTGCGGGCCATTCGAACTCATTATCCAATTCGTATTGTGGCCAGACTGAATTGCAAAAACACAAGGTGCTTAGGGCGAGTATCTTGCCTGAGGCCTAAGGTTTACAGGTTTTTTATGAGGCAGCCTAGAGGGCTGTTTTTTAGAATGGAGGACTGGGAGTTTCCCATAATGGAGGGTAGGCTTGGGAGAACAGGGAAAAAGACCTTCCTGGATGGCTGGAGGGAGACAATAAAAGGAGCAATCATCACTGCTGCCTTTTCATTCCGGAAGGGGATCAAATGGCCTAGAGGCGTCCCCCTAAGACCAGATGATTCAGCAAGTGCCTGGCACATGCCAGAGCCTTCTTGGACCAACACTGGATTTTCAGACCGGAGGAACCAAGAGAGGCCGTGTGGATTTTTCTCTGTTAACCAGGCTCCTGGGGAAACTTACTAGTAGGCGAGATCAGTAACCGATGTGCATGCACAGAGAGGTGACTGGAGGCTGAAGAACTTCCTTTGTCTGGCTGCTGTGGCCTGCTCTCTGGGGTGGAGGGGTAGTTCCAAGGGGGGCACAGACCTGAGCCCCTCCTGGGTTTCAGCACCGGACGTAAGGTTCTTGTGTTGGTTCAAACCCCAAGAGCACGCCAAGAGACAACACGAGGCAATGTGGAGCAACATGCTGTTTTAATGAGCGCCTGGGTGCAGGTGGGCTGAGGCCTAAAATGGCGTTAGACCCTAGTGAGGACAGGACAAAGCTTTTATAGTCTCCTGTAAACGGGAAGTGTCCTAGTCTGATGTAACTGCTACGTTATGCCCAGATGGCCTTTTTCTCGATCTTCAGGGGTACATGTCTTCCAGCCGGCTCTCTTCTTGCTTCTGCTATCTTGCTGGCTCACGCTGCTGACACAAGTGGCCTTGTGCTTTGGGACTGGGCCTGAGAAGGGAGGAGTTATTCATCTCCTTAAGCTTTCAGGCCCCAGGGAGAATCTTACAGCAAGGACTGGAGGGAAGTTTCATAGGATCATGCTGGAGGGGGCTCCATGTAGAACGAGGTCATGCTGCTGGGGCTTCCTGCAGAGCGAGGTAGTTGTGCCAAAACGTTGTTTGCGATTAGCCATCTGTATTAGGGTTCTCTAGAGGGACAGAACTAATAGGATAGATGTCTATATGAAAGGGATTTTATTAAGGAGAATTGACTCATAATGATCACAAGGTAAAGTCCCATGATAGGCCATCTGAAGGTGAAGAGCAAGGAATCCAGTGGTCGATCAGTCCGAGTCCCAAAACCTCAAAAGTAGGGAAGCCAACAGTGCAGCCTTCAGTCTGTGGCCAAAGGCCTGAGAGCCCCTGGCAATCCACTGGTTAAGTCCAAGGGTCCAAAAGCTGAAGAACTTGGAGTCTGATGTTTGAGGGCAGGAAGCAACCAGCACAGGAGAAAGATAAAGATCAGAAGACTCAGCAAGTCTGCTCTTCCATCTTCTGCCTGCTTTATTCTAGCGACGGGGGCAGCTGATTAGATGGTGTCCACCCAGACTGAGGGTGGGTCTGCCTCTCCGAGTCCACTGACTCAAATGTTAATCTCCTTTGGCAACTCCCTCACAGACACACCCAGGAACCGTACTTTGCGTCCTTCAATCCAGTCAAGTTGATGCTCAATATTAACCATCACACTGTCTCTCAGAACAATCATTCTCCTTAACCTGGAACCCTTTCCTCATTGCTGTTTACTTACCTTATCAGGACTCCACAATAAGGTTGGTTAGAGATTTGGGAGCAAGATCACTCAAGTTCAAATCCCAGCTTTCTCACTTACTAAGTCAGCTGGCTCTTCCTTAAGTGGTTTAACCCCTAACTCCATGCTTCAGTTTTCTCACCTGTAAAATGGTCATTAAAAATACTTGCCCCTTAAGGACTGTCAAGAGAATTATGTTATTACATGTGGAAATGTGATAATGATATAGGAGTTAAAAAGAAATTATTTAGACAGATAGGGTAAGAAAGTCCTCAGTAAGGTTTTCCCTTGAATGAAAAGCAGCCCCAAATCATTTCTTTTATAACAAAAAAGGAGCCTAAAAAACCAAGCCACAGCATAGATAAGCAAGCTGGAAGCTTGCATGGATGAATGCTGGCAGCTGTGCCAATAGGAGAAGGCTACCTGGGGGCTAGGCAAGTTCAACATGGCGGCTCCATCTTCCCTTTTCCTTGTCAACCACGTGTACAGTAAGGAGCAGACAACATGGCCACTGGCCAGGTAGAAAACCCATTTGCATGATAAAAAGATTAGGGTCGTGTGGCCAGCTTCTTCACAGACTATGTAAATGTCACACCTGCTCCAACCAATCTTTAGGTCTTATGTAAATCAGACACTGCCTCTTCAAGCCAGTCTATAAACCCCAAACTTCTTCCTCCTCCCCTCCACCCTGCACACTCCACCATGGACCATGGACCGTGGACCAGAAGTCCCACTTTGACGCCCCTCTCTCTCTGCAGGAGAGAGAGCTATTCTCCTTTCTCTTTCTTTTGCCTATTAAACCTCTGCTCCTAAACCCATTCCTTGTGCATCCATGTCTTTGATTTCCTTGGCTTGAGACAACAAACCTTGGGTATTTCCCCAGACAAATAATGTCACTTCAATAATATATGAAAAGTATTTAGAATATATGTTTATGTGCCATATAAATGTTTGCACATAACTGAAGGAAATTATTAGTTTCCTTCAGTAGACATTTTCACTTAGTCACCATGAGCATTTTACATTTTTCCTATTTCTTGTGAAATAATAAGCCTGGCCTTACTATGTGAAAAGCTAACTCAGCTGACCTTGGCAGGCAATGGCAATGAAAGTTACCACCAAAGCGTTTTCCTCTAATCCAGTGGTTCTCAGCCTTTGTCTTACCCTGGAACTCAGGGAACTTTACGTAGTACTGATGCCTGGGACCCAACCCCAGATTTGCTCATTTAATTGGTTTGGGGGCAGTCTAAGTATTGGGTGTTGTAGAAGCTTCCCAGATGGCTCTAGTGCACAGCCAAGGTTGAGAACTCTCGCCAAACCTTCTTTCATGGAGGTGAAGTGCGAGTGGGGTTTTTGAAGGTCAGATTCACTCACCACATGAAACCAGGATGTTAGTAGTGCTTCTTGAAAAATAAGTGTTTCAATGCCAAATACATTTTAGAAGTTCTGGGTTAAACAACAGCAAATAATAAACAACCTTTGTTTGCTAGAGGATTTATAGGACTTTTAAGGGCCTTTGGTATGTTAATGGACATTGAAACTCTCAAAGAGGGGGAATTATACATGGAGCCTTTCCTAAACTAATTTAACCACAGAAACTTTTTGAGTTTGAGTGTCTTGGGGAACATGCAATCTGAGAAATACACTTTGGAAAATGCTAAATTTATGGCAATGCCAAAAGCAGTGTGGAAAACTGAGCGAAGGCAGAGCCTAGGGGAGCTCTTGGGTCTCCTGATCCTGACTCCCCTGTTCCTGGCTCTCCCCTGACAGAGCATTCTAGCCTGTTACCGCCACTCACTTTACTGAGAAGAAAGAGATCACCCAAAAAGGACAGAAATTGCCCATCCCGGTCCAAGGGGAGAAAAACAATGCAACACAGGGGAACGGTAGTGGACTCAGTGTTCGGCTGCCCTGGAAGCCTGAACAAAATAGAATTTTTGTTAGGACTGGAGTCCTTGGCTTCCAGGTGTGACTCAGGAACCATCAGTATGATGGTGGGGTGAAAAGGATGTTGGGCTGTCTGTCCAGAAACCCGAGCATAGTATTCAGAAAACTGCCTCCATCCTCTGACTTGCTTTTCTTAGTAAAGCTAAAATTGTGGCTAGAAATTGCAGCTATACAGTCACTAATTTCCATGACTTAATAGTATATCCCTTTCACTTTAACCTTATCTTGTACAGTGCATCGTTTTCAAAACTTTTTCACACATATTGTCTCATTAGATTCACAGAACAATCTTATCTGCTAGGCAGTGCTAGTATTCTTGTTATCCATATTTTTCAGAGGGGAAAACTGAGGCCTAGAGAGGTGAGTTGACCTGCCTGAAATTACAGAAGTCTGTGATGAACCCAGGTTTGAGTATAGGTCTTTCTGCCACATGTTCTTTCCACTGTGTTCTGAACCTGCTTTCAAATTACAGATTTATAGAATTCTTATGGGGGGGATCTTCCTTTCCCCAGGATCCATGTTTCCAAGTGAGGAGTAGCAGGCCTACCTCTATCTACATTAACCCATTTTCCCCAACAGAGGGTAGAAAGAGTGACAATTGATTGGAAAGTTTGGGAGCAGAGGGTGAGATCCCTGGGCTTATCCCCTTCCGTACTTGGCTGTGGGCATCTGCAGGCAGTGCACAGTCTCTTCTGCACCAGCCTTATGGCAAGAGAAGGCACAGAGTTTGGGGAGGAAAGATAAATTCAGAGGAAGGTTAGCGGCTCCTTTAGCTGCATGCTGAGCCATGGCCTCCAACAGAGCTTTTATCACAATAAAACCTATTTTGATCTCCATCATCTATAATTCCTGAGTGTGGCTCTTTTACAATAGATTCCAAACATGGGTAGGGAAATGGGCCATTATTTATTAGTCCCCCCCAGACCTTATAAATTTTATAGCTGAATCAAACCTGAAGTTATTTGGTCTAAGCTGCTGCTTTTAAAAAATGAATCATCTGAGTAACAGTCAGGTTTTATTACTTGCTGAAAATCACACAAAGCTGATTAATGCATAAGCCACTGGGTATCCTGACTTACCGGGAACCATTACTTTTGTCCATTTAAGCATGGTTTCTTCAGGATTACCCAAGAGGGAGGCTGAGCTCATGTTTGGAGCACCGCCCCCCTCCCCTCCACACACACACACACAGCAGGTGGCCATAACAAAATGAGGAAACAAATGTTATAAATAAATTGATATTCAGTGAGGTCCAATAAATCATTGAAGTAATCATTGTGGTTGGGAGAGAAAATTACAATTTATTGGGCATCCCTAACCTTCAGGATAGTTCTTAGTTTGAATTATACATGAGAATATCAGTCAGTTTTACTGCAGTAAGAACCCCCAAATTCCACTGGCTTATAATAACCAGCATTTATTGATCATGAATTTTAATTGTTGGCTGGTGCAGGTCATTTGTGGTGGTTCTTCCCAGCCCTGTTCCCCATGTTTTGTCTCTCTAAGACCCAGGCTGAAGAAGCAGCCCATATTCGGGACATGGCATACTTGTGGAAGAGGAAACAGAGCAGGAGAATTCATGGAACCCATGGTGCCTTTTAAAGCAACTTTTACGCAAGGCAGACAACACTTCTGCTCACATCCCTTTGGCCAAAGCCTGTCACATGGCCAAGTAAAGAGGGATGTAAGCTCCTCCCTCAGGAGGACTACAAGTCCCATGGCCATAAAAGGGCACGTATAATAGAGAAGGAGAGAGCACATACTTGAGAGAAATAATACAATCATCCACAGAGTGTACGCCGGGTCTGTAGAAGTCCTAATCTGGACCTGGCCTTAAAGTGAGAATATATCACCCTTTTGACCCTCTGGAAAACCCTCCCCTAGAGTTAGAATGGGGTGGAGGAGGTTGAAATGTAAAAGGAGGAGAGAGTTGCATCAGGTGAAGGGAGTAGTCCTGTAAAATGTGCTTTGGATTGGAGTCCACTAAAGAGACCATCCCCAACCCCTCCCCGGGGCACTAGATGTCTTGCAGGTTATTCATGCAGGAGAGGGAAAATTGGGTATGCAGTGGCACAAATAATCCAAAACTCATTGATATTTGAATACTTAATGCTGTTTGTGATTTCTGTAGCCAGCATAGTTCCCTTCTTGATTGCACTTCACTGGGATCACTGTGAAGGTTGCTTGGTATTCCCCACGCACACAGCAGCTAATGGGAAGAAGACAGTGAGGAGGAGCATGAGATGAAAGTCAACTAAATAAGGTGAGGCTGGCCACAAAAGTGATTAATTCTCATAGGGACAAATGAGTAACCTCTTACTCCCAGCTGAATTCTAAGCCTCACACAGGGAATGAGAGAGAGCAAATCTCGTGAGACTTCACTGCCTTCTCCAACTATTGATTCTGCAGTAGCCTCACCCATTCTCCCAGGATGTAAACTCAAGATTGGTGGGGAGAGGCCAGGGCTCACGCAAATTATAGCCTGCAGCATGCTGCAGCCCTTGAAAGGAGTTCAAAATTTTTTTTCTTTATTCCCTCTTGTATAAAGGAGTGATTGAAGGCCCACTAGTTGCAAATGTGTGGGCACTATAGGGAAGTCAAAAGTAATAAGGAGACACTATCCCTGCCCCTCCAAAATTATTGCTAGTGATGATAACATTTTATAACTTTAAAGCTCCTTTAATGTTTTAAGTTGCTGCATAGTAGGAGGCCAGAGCTATAGAAGCAGCTCTGTAACCAAGAAGCTACCAGAGGCCCCCTCTAAGATTTTTCTGTCCTTAGAGACGTTTTTCATGTTCTCAAGCTTGTAAGGTGCAGTACCCAGGGCTGTGGTGGTACCCAGCCTGGGAGGTGGTGTCTGTGGGCTTATGAATTTGGGAGATAGCACTCAGCTAAAGTAGCTAAGCTACCAGAAATAAAACAACAGAAAAAAATGCAAAATCTCTTGTCCATGCACCATTTTGCATTACCTCACTGTCTAGAAAAATAGTTTGCAATATTGCTGAGTGGTTAAGAGCTTAATTTTTTACAATAGACTATCAAGTTCAAAACTTGACTTACCCATTTATTACCTGTGTGACCTTGGAAAAGTTATCTTACTCTGTGTGCCTCAGTTTCCTCGTCTAGAACTAGGATTGTTATGAGAATCCAAAACACAATATTTTATTTTCTTGTTGCTTAGCTAATTACAAAACACACACTGAAGCAGCACTAAGAATATGATGGTTCTACTATAACAGTACAAGTCTAAGTCTCTTGAGATACTAAGGTTCAGGCATGTGATTTAGTTTCTTTCAACCAGACCTAACTGCAAGGGCCTATGATTTGGAAGTGAGGAAATGGCAGGTATGGGATTTCCATTTTGCAGCCCGGGGGGTGGCAGAGGCCACATGTTTCTATGATTGGAAGTGGGGGAAGCAGGAGAGGCCACTTGCTATCATGGATAGGGCAGTGGGGTCCTGGGATCAGTGGCCAGTTCCTCAGGGTGTTTCCAGGAGTTGTTAGTAGAAATCAGCCTAGAATTGTCCCTCTAGTCCTTTTTGTGACTCTGGGAGCTAGGGAAAGTAGCCTGGGCTCCAATCCTGGCTCTGCCGCTTAATAATTGTGTGATCTCAGGCAAGTTATCTCACTGCTTTATGCCAGTTTCCTTATCTGAAAAGTGGTGCAAATAGGTAGCTGTTGCATAGGGTTTTCATACAGTATAAAGGAGTTAATATAGGTAAAGCATTTAGAATGCATCCTGACACATGGTAAATACATTAATGTTACATTATGGTTGTTGTTGCTTCTGTTGTTATTATTACTAATAATATATTTCAAACTAGCTAAAGTGGATTCTTTTATCTATGAGTAAAAGCACAGATTAATACAAAGAGCAACATGCTTCGTACTTGAATTTTTAGGTAAAGAAGTATTAATATATATATGCATTGGTGCCTGAAAAGGCCAAGAAACTATAGTTTAGAAAGTGTATAAATGGATGAAGACAATTAAAAAAAATCATTAATGAAGTCAGGGAATTACAGGATGGAATGCAGAATAGGGACAATCAACTGTGTTACAAGAATATGAAAAACCTCACTGGAGGGAGGAGCCAAGATGGCCGAATAGGAACAGCTCCGGTCTACAGCTCCCAGCGTTAGCGACGCAGAAGACGGGTGATTTCTGCATTTCCATCTGAGGTACCGGGTTCATCTCACTAGGGAGTGCCAGACAGTGGGCGCAGGCCAGTGTGTGTGCTCACCCTGCGCGAGCCGAAGCAGGGTGAGGCATTGCCTCACCTGGGAAGCGCAAGGGGTCAGGGAGTTCCCTTTCCGAGTCAAAGAAAGGGGTGACGGACGCACCTGGAAAATCGGGTCACTCCCACCCGAATATTGCGCTTTTCAGACCGGCTTAAGAAACGGCGCACCACGAGACTATATCCCACACCTGGCTCAGAGGGTCCTACGCCCACGGAATCTCGCTGATTGCTAGCACAGCAGTCTGAGATCAAACTGCAAGGCGGCAACGAGGCTGGGGGAGGGGCGCCCGCCATTGCCCAGGCTTGCTTAGGCAAACAAAGCAGCAGGGAAGCTCGAACTGGGTGGAGCCCACCACAGCTCAAGGAGGCCTGCCTGCCTCTGTAGGCTCCACCTCTGGGGGCAGGGCACAGACAAACAAAAAGACAGCAGTAACCTCTGCAGACTTAACTGTCCCTGTCTGACAGCTTTGAAGAGAGCAGTGGTTCTCCCAGCACGCAGCTGGAGATCTGAGAACGGGCAGACTGCCTCCTCAAGTGGGTCCCTGACCCCTGACCCCCGAGCAGCCTAACTGGGAGGCACCCCCCAGCAGGGGCACACTGACACCTCACACGGCAGGGTATTCCAACAGACCTGCAGCTGAGGGTCCTGTCTGTTAGAAGGAAAACAACCAGAAAGGACATCTACACCGAAAACCCATCTGTACATCACCATCATCAAAGACCAAAAGTAGATAAAACCACAAAGATGGGGAAAAAACAGAACAGAAAAACTGGAAACTCTAAAACGCAGAGCGCCTCTCCTCCTCCAAAGGAATGCAGTTCCTCACCAGCAACAGAACAAAGCTGGATGGAGAATGATTTTGACGAGCTGAGAGAAGAAGGCTTCAGACGATCAAATTACTCTGAGCTACGGGAGGACATTCAAACCAAAGGCAAAGAAGTTGAAAACTTTGAAAAAAATTTAGAAGAATGTATAACTAGAATAACCAATACAGAGAAGTGCTTAAAGGAGCTGATGGAGCTGAAAACCAAGGCTCGAGAACTATGTGAAGAATGCAGAAGCCTCAGGAGCCGATGTGATCAACTGGAAGAAAGGGTATCAGCAATGGAAGATGAAATGAATGAAATGAAGCAAGAAGGGAAGTTTAGAGAAAAAAGAATAAAAAGAAATGAGCAAAGCCTCCAAGAAATATGGGACTATGTGAAAAGACCAAATCTACGTCTGATTGGTGTACCTGAAAGTGATGTGGAGAATGGAACCAAGTTGGAAAACACTCTGCAGGATATTATCCAGGAGAACTTCCCCAATCTAGCAAGGCAGGCCAACGTTCAGATTCAGGAAATACAGAGAACGCCACAAAGATACTCCTCGAGAAGAGCAACTCCAAGACACATAATTGTCAGATTCACCAAAGTTGAAATGAAGGAAAAAATGTTAAGGGCAGCCAGAGAGAAAGGTCGGGTTACCCTCAAAGGAAAGCCCATCAGACTAACAGCGGATCTCTCGGCAGAAACCCTACAAGCCAGAAGAGAGTGGGGGCCAATATTCAACATTCTTAAAGAAAAGAATTTTCAACCCAGAATTTCATATCCAGCCAAACTAAGCTTCATAAGTGAAGGAGAAATAAAATACTTTATAGACAAGCAAATGCTGAGAGATTTTGTCACCACCAGGCCTGCCCTAAAAGAGCTCCTGAAGGAAGCGCTAAACATGGAAAGGAACAACCGGTACCAGCCGCTGCAAAATCATGCCAAAATGTAAAGACCATCGAGACTAGGAAGAAACTGCATCAACTAATGAGCAAAATCACCAGCTAACATCATAATGACAGGATCAAATTCACACATAACAATATTAACTTTAAATATAAATGGACTAAATTCTGCAATTAAAAGACACAGACTGGCAAGTTGGATAAAGAGTCAAGACCCATCAGTGTGCTGTATTCAGGAAACCCATCTCACGTGCAGAGACACACATAGGCTCAAAATAAAAGGATGGAGGAAGATCTACCAAGCAAATGGAAAACAAAAAAAGGCAGGGGTTGCAATCCTAGTCTCTGATAAAACAGACTTTAAACCAACAAAGATCAAAAGAGAAAAAGAAGGCCATTACATAATGGTAAAGGGATCAATTCAACAAGAGGAGCTAACTATCCTAAATATTTATGCACCCAATACAGGAGCACCCAGATTCATAAAGCAAGTCCTGAGTGACCTACAAAGAGACTTAGACTCCCACACATTAATAATGGGAGACTTTAACACCCCACTGTCAACATTAGACAGATCAACGAGACAGAAAGTCAACAAGGATACCCAGGAATTGAACTCAGCTCTGCACCAAGCAGACCTAATAGACATCTACAGAACTCTCCACCCCAAATCAACAGAATATATATTTTTTTCAGCACCACACCACACCTATTCCAAAATTGACCACATAGTTGGAAGTAAAGCTCTCCTCAGCAAATGTAAAAGAACAGAAATTATAACAAACTATCTCTCAGACCACAGTGCAATCAAACTAGAACTCAGGATTAAGAATCTCACTCAAAGCCGCTCAACTACATGGAAACTGAACAACCTGCTCCTGAATGACTACTGGGTACATAACGAAATGAAGGCAGAAATAAAGATGTTCTTTGAAACCAACGAGAACAAAGACACCACATACCAGAATCTCTGGGATGCATTCAAAGCAGTGTGTAGAGGGAAATTTATAGCACTAAATGCCTACAAGAGAAAGCAGGAAAGATCCAAAATTGACACCCTAACATCACAATTAAAAGAACTAGAAAAGCAAGAGCAAACACATTCAAAAGCTAGCAGAAGGCAAGAAATAACTAAAATCAGAGCAGAACTGAAGGAAATAGAGACACAAAAAACCCTTCAAAAAATCAATGAATCCAGGAGCTGGTTTTTTGAAAGGATCAACAAAATTGATAGACCGCTAGCAAGACTAATAAAGAAAAAAAGAGAGAAGAATCAAATAGACACAATAAAAAATAATAAAGGGGATATCACCACCGATCCCACAGAAATACAAACTACCATCAGAGAATACTACAAACACCTCTACGCAAATAAACTAGAAAATCTAGAAGAAATGGATAAATTCCTGGACACATACACTCTCCCAAGACTAAACCAGGAAGAAGTTGAATCTCTGAATAGACCAATAACAGGCTCTGAAATTGTGGCAATAATCAATAGTTTACCAACCAAAAAGAGTCCAGGACCAGATGGATTCACAGCCGAATTCTACCAGAGGTACAAGGAGGAACTGGTACCATTCCTTCTGAAACTATTCCAATCAATAGAAAAAGAGGGAATCCTCCCTAACTCATTTTATGAGGCCAGCATCATTCTGATACCAAAGCCGGGCAGAGACACAACCAAAAAAGAGAATTTTAGACCAATATCCTTGATGAACATTGATGCAAAAATCCTCAATAAAATACTGGCAAACCGAATCCAGCAGCACATCAAAAAGCTTATCCACCATGATCAAGTGGGCTTCATCCCTGGGATGCAAGGCTGGTTCAATATACGCAAATCAATAAATGTAATCCAGCATATAAACAGAGCCAAAGACAAAAACCACATGATTATCTCAATAGATGCAGAAAAAGCCTTTGACAAAATTCAACAACCCTTCATGCTAAAAACTCTCAATAAATTAGGTATTGATGGGACGTATTTCAAAATAATAAGAGCTATCTATGACAAACCCACAGCCAATATCATACTGAATGGGCAAAAACTGGAAGCATTCCCTTTGAAAACTGGCAAAAGACAGGGATGCCCTCTCTCACCACTCCTATTCAACATAGTGTTGGAAGTTCTGGCCAGGGCAATCAGGCAGGAGAAGGAAATAAAGGGTATTCAATTAGGAAAAGAGGAAGTCAAATTGTCCCTGTTTGCAGACGACATGATTGTTTATCTAGAAAACCCCATCGTCTCAGCCCAAAATCTCCTTAAGCTGATAAGCAACTTCAGCAAAGTCTCAGGATACAAAATCAATGTACAAAAATCACAAGCATTCTTATACACCAACAACAGACAAACAGAGAGCCAAATCATGAGTGAACTCCCATTCACAATTGCTTCAAAGAGAATAAAATACCTAGGAATCCAACTTACAAGGGATGTGAAGGACCTCTTCAAGGAGAACTACAAACCACTGCTCAAGGAAATAAAAGAGGACACAAACAAATGGAAGAACATTCCATGCTCATGGGTAGGAAGAATCAATATCGTGAAAATGGCCATACTGCCCAAGGTAATTTACAGATGCAATGCCATCCCCATCAAGCTACCAATGACTTTCTTCACAGAATTGGAAAAAACTACTTTAAAGTTCATATGGAACCAAAAAAGAGCCCGCATCGCCAAGTCAATCCTAAGCCAAAAGAACAAAGCTGGAGGCATCACACTACCTGACTTCAAACTATACTACAAGGCTACAGTAACCAAAACAGCATGGTACTGGTACCAAAACAGAGATATAGATCAATGGAACAGAACAGAGCCCTCAGAAATAATGCCACATATCTACAACTATCTGATCTTTGACAAACCTGAGAAAAACAAGCAATGGGGAAAGGATTCCCTATTTAATAAATGGTGCTGGGAAAACTGGCTAGCCATATGTAGAAAGCTGAAACTGGATCCCTTCCTTACACCTTATACAAAAATCAATTCAAGATGGATTAAAGATTTAAACGTTAGACCTAAAACCATAAAAACCCTAGAAGAAAACCTAGGCATTACCATTCAGGACATAGGCGTGGGCAAGGACTTCATGTCCAAAACACCAAAAGCAATGGCAACAAAAGACAAAATTGACAAATGGGATCTAATTAAACTAAAGAGCTTCTGCACAGCAAAAGAAACTACCATCAGAGTGAACAGGCAACCTACAACATGGGAGAAAATTTTCGCAACCTACTCATCTGACAAAGGGCTAATATCCAGAATCTACAATGAACTCAAACAAATTTACAAGAAAAAAACAAACAACCCCATCAAAAAGTGGGCGAAGGACATGAACAGACACTTCTCAAAAGAAGACATTTATGCAGCCAAAAAACACATGAAGAAATGCTCATCATCACTGGCCATCAGAGAAATGCAAATCAAAACCACTATGAGATATCATCTCACACCAGTTAGAATGGCAATCATTAAAAAGTCAGGAAACAACAGGTGCTGGAGAGGATGTGGAGAAATAGGAACACTTTTACACTGTTGGTGGGACTGTAAACTAGTTCAACCATTGTGGAAGTCAGTGTGGCGATTCCTCAGGGATCTAGAACTAGAAATACCATTTGACCCAGCCATCCCATTACTGGGTATATACCCAAAGGACTATAAATCATGCTGCTATAAAGACACATGCACACGTATGTTTATTGCGGCACTATTCACAGTAGCAAAGACTTGGAACCAACCCAAATGTCCAACAATGATAGACTGGATTAAGAAAATGTGGCACATATACACCATGGAATACTATGCAGCCATAAAAAATGATGAGTTCATGTCCTTTGTAGGGACATGGATGAAATTGGAAACCATCATTCTCAGTAAACTATCGCAAGAACAAAAAACCAAACACCGCATATTCTCACTCATAGGTGGGAATTGAACAATGAGATCACTTGGACACAGGAAGGGGAATATCACACTCTGGGGACTGTGGTGGGGTCGGGGGAGGGGGGAGGGATAGCATTGGGAGATATACCTAATGCTAGATGACACGTTAGTGGGTGCAGCGCACCAGCATGGCACATCTATACATATGTAACTAACCTGCACAATGTGCACATGTACCCTAAAACTTAGAGTATAATAAAAAATAAAAATAAAAAAAAAAAAAAGAGAAAAAAAAAAAAAAAAGAAAGAAAAACCTCACTGAAAGAAGTATAGAGAAAAGGTGCTGATTTAAGCAACTTTGGAAATGAGCAGAGACCTTAAGACTAAAGGCAAAAGAAACTGTACACAAGCACTGTATCCAAACTGATAAAGGCTTTCCTACACAGATTACAGGCAAGTGGAGGAGGCTAGAATGACTCATATGGTAATAGATTAGAGTTAAAGATGTTAGAATTAACTCTGCTGGGTGTGGTGGCTCATGCCTATAATCCTAGCACTTTGGGAGTCCAAGGCAGGAGAATTGCTTAAGCCCGAGTTCAAGACCAGCCTTGGCAATGTAGTGAAACCTCATCTCTACAAAAAACATGGGAAGTAGCTGCGTGTGGTGGTGCACTCTTGTAGTCCCAGCTACTTGGAAGGTTGAGGATCACTTGAGCCCAGGATGCGGAAGTTGCAGTGAGCCAAGATCATGCCACTGCACTCCAGCCTGAAAGCAGAGATTCTGTCTCAGAAAAAAAAAAAAAAAAAAGAGAGAGATTTGCTCATTTTCAGCTTAATATAGTTAAATGTATAAATATTTGTAAATAGGTGTATGTACACAGGTTAGCACATATACATATAATTCTCTCTTCTGTCAGCTAAGAAAGCCTAAAAGAAACAACATCTTTATGGCACACCTAGTGCTCAGATCTTGGTTCCTTATATCATTCTGCAATAAAAGGAACCAGGGATCCTTGAAGAAATTGCCTGTTCTAGCACTAGTGAAGGAAACACAGAAGATAAGCCTGGAGTAGCACCTTATAGTGCCAAAAAGTAAGAAAGCGCTAAGAAAGAAAGAGAAAGCGGGGCTGGGGAGAGGAAGTAGGGAAGGTAAGGAAGGGGAGGGGAAAAGAGAGAAAGGGTGGAGACAGGGGGTCCAAAGTAATAGGATACATCAATAGGAGACAACTATAAGAGTTCCCAATGGCCAACTCTGGGTCAATTTGAGTGCCAAAATAAAATTATAACCCAAACTATAAAATAAATATCCATGAGTCTATACAGATATAGATGATTTTAAAAATAAATAATTGGAGTAAAAGGGACAAATCTGTGAAGAACAATTCCAAGTGATTTATGTGAATACTCCACCTCTAGTATGTGGAGCATAACTCCCCCCGACCAAAATGTGAGCTATCTATACTGATTTCCTTGCAAAAAGTACAATATGGAAAGGTGAATGGGGAGCAGGCAGTAATTTGCTATAGAGAAATCTGACAAACAATACCTTGGCTAGGTGATCAAGGTCAAAGTCAGTAGTGCTCAGTCAAACAAATCATATGTACCCTTGATATGATTTAGTGAGATACTGAAGGATAATATAATGAGGCTAACTGTATTACCCCTGTGCTCTTCCTCCCAAAAACCTATAACCCCAGCCTAATCATGAGGAACAAAATTAGAAAAATCCAAATTGAGGGACAGTCTCTACAAAATACCTGACCTGTACTCTATCCCTCAAACTGTCAAGGTCATCAAAAATAAAGAATGTCCAAGAAGATGTCACAGTCTCGAGGGGCCTAAGGAGACATAACAACTAATGGAATGTGGTCTCTTGGATGGGATCCTGGAACAACAAGAAAAGGCATTAAGTAAAAACTAAGCAAATCTGTATAAAGTATGCATTGTGGTGAATTTTTTAAAAAGTGAATGAAGAAATTTCAAAAGAAGAGATAGACAATGACAAAAGCTTTATTAATATCAACATTTTGAAGACACAGACCCAGCAACTGGAAGGGACAATCCTGCCATACAAGAAGCTCTTTTGGATTCTACAGTAGATGCAGAGAATGCCTTCTGCTGGTGGACCTGTTATACCACAACTGAAAGTTGTGATTTGGACTGATATTAGAACCTGTAAAAACTACACTGATGAAGTTCTCCAGCACAAGTTGGAGCTAAATCTGCTTTAAAAGAGACCCAGGAATTATTCTGATAAATTTTGTAGTGAAATTAGTAGGATTCTCAGAAAGATCAGCCTCTGAGAAGTATGTATCAACAATCAGCTTCAACACTTGGTTCAGGAATACTGTGCTCCACATCCCAGCTGCCTAAGACAAGAGATGGTGCCAGCTGGGAAAAGAGAGAAGAAACTAAAAGGAACAGATTTTTTTTTTTCTAAAATCACAGAAGGATAAATGAGAAAAGGAATAATACATTAGCAGCATTTCTAATGGTACCATTTTGGTAAATCTTAAACAGAACACAACTGAGGCAACAATTTAGAAGGACATTAGAATTTATGAAGCGGCTCCAGTCAAAAGTTGAGCAAATAATATGACTAGGGATATGCCTAAAGCAATTATCCCAGAATGTGCAGTAGATGTTTCTTAAAATGTATTGTTACACTTGCTCCTAATCAGTTGCTTTCTCATGTTCAGTTATATTTCATTTTGCTTAATCTGTAAAAACAATATATCACAGAACCTGTTCAGTGGGTGAGGGAATATATATGTATCTAAATACATGTATATATCATATATATCTAAATACACATAAAGATATATACGCACACATATATATATACATAAATTGTGTTATGATGAATGTAATTTAAAGCTCTTGAGAATTAATATGATGTTTAATCGAGTCATTTTAAATGATCTTTAAGAAAGCATAATAGTGACCATCTCATTTGATTTTCTGAGGAATTTTGTGAGGTAATAACACCAGGTATTGTAATCCTCATGTTACAGAGGGGAAAATAAGCCCAGAGAGGTTAAGTGGCTTGCTCAAGGTCACAGAGTTAGAAGAGCTTGCAATATAGTTGGGGTAATAAAACACATCCAGGCACATAAAACATCCTGAAATAATTAGAAGCTTGTGGTTTTTTTCTGAATCGAATTTCCAAGCCCCAAAGATATTCTCCTAACTAAAAAGAGATCCACACAAACAAATCATTTTTGTCTGCCTGAGAAATACAGCGGGTTCTTTTCGAGGGTGAAAAACAAATTTGCCTTCTTCGAGCTTGCAGATGAAGTAGAAATATTGGTGCAAGACTTTTACAGTTCATTAACTGTCATCCAGAGCAAGGAAGATTTGTGGCTTGCTTAGGGGACCGCTGGGCAGGGGTACGACACGCATGCCAATAGGTTTAACTGTTTAGCAACGGGCTGTGGCAACAGACCAGGAGGCCACCAGCTCCTAGACAAGGGCAATGAGGACATCAGTCACACTCAGAGTAGATTGCTTTGGGTCCTCACATTAAAAAAATCTCTAGAATATTGTGTGTAGAATTATTTTTATGTTCTTTCTGGAGGTTTCCATTGTAAAATCAATATTTATAAGCCACTTCTGGAAGACCTATGTTGTTAGTATTAGGTACTGTAAATTGAATATTACAGCCATCAGCTCTACATTTCTAGTTCTTTAGATTTATAAGCAGCATTTCAGATATGCCAGAGTGAAGGACAAAAGTTAGACTAAAATCTATGGCAGAAAAGAGCAATTAACACATTTATTCAATGACCAAGCAAAGTGTTCTTTTAGTTTCAACAGAATTACTTGGTATTCTGCCCATGACAGGTTGTTTACTCTAAAATAAATTTCTAAAGAATTGACTGGTTTGGATCAAATGTGTAATCCTGAAGGGCATAAGAAAACACCTGGAATTCGATTTTTTTTAGTTCCCACATATGAGTGAGAACATATAATGTTTGTTTTTGTTTTTCTGTGCCTGCATAAGAAAACACCTGGAATTTGATTTTGAGGTCAATCACTCATCTTGAAAAAAAAAAGTGACTGGAAACTTCCTAATGAGCTTATCTTGTGATTGTCCTGATGTTTGGACCACTGTGCTACATCTGTTGATGTTTGTTGTTTATTTTGGGTGAAAAAAAGTCTTCTGTGCCTATGTGAGTAATCAATGCCTGATATTAAGTGATATTGTGTTAGATTTACTTAGAAGTAAATCAAAAGAGCTTGCATTTCACAGAGGGATATACACAGTTAATATTGCCCCATGCTGAAAACTTCAACCAAGGCACATGCTATTATTTACAGTAACAAACAATTACCCTTCACAATAGAACTAAAAACAGAATTCTGACTCATGAATATGCTTTTAATATTTCCCTGCTGTGGACATTAATTTTTCCCCACCCTGGAATACACTGAGAAAGAGTGTTGTGTACATGCAGAAGAGTGCATGTGGATGTACATGTGCCTGTGTGTGTGAATATAAATAGTGAATAAAACAGAACTCCACTCATTATTTTTTACTAAACACAAATAATAACATCTAGTAAATGTTTAGCAAATGTTTAACAAATGTTCTGAAAATTTTAATACAGAGCAAAGATTATTACTGATCTATTATTTTAAGACTGTTAGTATAATTAATCTTTCAGTGAGTGATACACAAAATATTATGATGATCCTTTGAGACCATAATCATGTTGTCAATGATGAATTTTTTATTTTTTATTTTTATAGGTATATAAGAAATATATATATTTTCAGAGTACTTGTGATAATTTGATACCTTCAAATAAACAAATCAGGGTAATTGGGATATCCAACACTTTAAATATTAATCCTTTCTAATTATTCTCTTCTAGCCATTTTGAAATGTACAATTGATTAATGTTAACTACAGTCACCCACCTGATCTATCAAACACTATGTTTTATTTCTTCTAAGTGTATATTTATACCCATTGATCAACCTGTCTTCATCCCTCTCTTCCTCTACCCTTCCCAGCCTCTGGTAGCCACCAATCTACTCTCCATCTTCATGAGATCCACTTTTTTAGTTCCCACATATGAGAACATATAATGTTTGTTTTTGTTTTTCTTTGCCTGGCTTATTTCTCTTAATACAATTACCTCCAGTTTCATCTATGTTGCTGCAAATAACAGGATTTCATTTTTCATGGCTGAATGATATTCCATTGTATATATATCACATTTTTATTATCCATTCATCCAATGATGGACACAACGGTTGATTTCATATTTTGGCTATTATACATACAACTCCAATAAATATGGAAGTACAGATATCTCTTTGATATATGGATTTCCTTTCTTTTGGATATATACCCAGCTGGATATATGGTAGCTCTAGTTTTAGTTTTTAAAGGAAACTTCATACTGATTTCCTTAGTGGCTGTATTAATTAACCTTCCCACCAACAGTATACAAGGGTCCCCCTTTCTCCATATCCTTACCAGCAGCTGTTACTCCCTATCTTTTTGATAAAAGCCATTCTAATTGGGGTGAGACGATATATCATTGTTGTTTTGATTTGCATTTCTCTGATGCTTAGTGATGTTGAGCATTTTTTTACATACCTGTTGGTCATTTGTACGTCTTTTTTATGAGAGATGTCTATTCATGTCCTTTGTCCACTTTTTAATTTAATTGTTTGTTTGCTTTTTTGCTATTGTTTGAGCTCCTTATATTAATATATTCTGATAAGTGTTTTCTGATCTGCATTTCTCTGATGATTAGTGATGTTGAGCATTTGTTCATATACCTGTTAGTCATTTGTATGTCTTTTCTTGAGAGATGTCTACTCCTGTCCTTTGTCCACTTTTTAATTGAATTGTTTGTTTGCTTTTTTGCTGTTGAGTTGTTTAAACTCCTTATATTAACATATTTGATGAAGGTTTTTATCATAAAGCCATGTTGAATTTTACCTAATTCTTTTTCAGTATCTATTGAAATGATCATAAGCCTTTTATTCTTGGTTCTAATAATACAATGTATTATATTTATTAATTTGCATACATTGAACCAGTCTTGCATCCTGGGATGAATCGCACTTGATCATGGTGAATGATCTTTTTAATATGTTGTAATGTTGTTGAATTCACTTTGCTAGTGTTTTGTTAAGGATTTTTTCATCTGTGTTCATCAGTAATGATGGCCTGTAGTGTTATTTTTCACTTGTGCCCTTGTCTGGTTTAGGTATCGGGGTAATTCTGGGCTTATAGAATGAGTTTGGAAGTATTCTCTTTTCTTCAGTTTTGCTGAAGAGTTTGAGTACAATTGGTATTAGTTCTTCTTTAAAGGTTTGGTAGAGGGCTGGGCATGGTGGCTCACACTTGTTAATCCCAGCACTTTGGGAGGCTGAGGCAGGTGGATTATTTGAGATCAGGAGTTTGCGACCAGCCTGGCCAACATGGCAAAAACCCATGTCTACTAAAAATTCAAAAATTAGCCAGGCATGGTGGTGCACATCTGTGATCTCAGCTGTTCAGGAGGCTGAGACAGGAGAATCTCTTGAACCTGAGAGGTGGAGGTGGCAATGAGCTGAGATCATGTCACTGCACTCCAGCCTGGGTCACAGAGTGAGTGAGACTTCATCTCAACAAATAAATATAAATAAATGTTTGGTGGAATTCAGCAGTGAAGCTATCAGGTCCTGGGCTTTTCTTCGATGGTAGGCTTTTTCTTACAGCTTTGATCTCATTACTCACTGTTGTTTTATCGAAGTTTCTATCACTTCATGGTTCAATCTTGATAAGTTGTATGTTTCCAGAAATTTATTCATTTCTTCTAGGTTTTTCAATTTGTTGACAATATAGTTGTACATAATAGTCTCCAATTCTTTGTATTTCTGTGCTCTCAGTCACTATGTCTCCTTTTTCATTTAATTTTATTTATTTGGATGTTCTCTCTTTTTTTCTTAGTCTAGCTAAAAGTTTGTCAATTTTGTGTATCTTTAAAAAAACAACTTTTCAGTTCATTGATTTTCTGTATTTTTTTAGTTCCAATTTTATTTATTTATGCTCTAATTTTTATTATTTCTTTCCTTCTACTAACTTTGGGTTTGATTTTTGTTCTTGATTTTCTAATTCCTTGAAGTGCATCATTAGGTCTTTTATTTGAAGTCTTTTTCCTTTTTTCATATAGGCATTTATTGCTATAAACTTCTACTAAAAATACTGCTTTTGCTGTATCCTATAGATTTTTGTATGTTGTCTTCCTGTTTTTATTGTTTTAATGAAGTTTTTGTTTCCTTCTTAATTCCTTCATTGACCCATTGGTCGCTCAGAAACATGTTGTCTAATTTGTATGTGGTTATGTTGTTTCTGAGGTTCTTCTAGTTATTGGTTTCTAATTTTAGTCCATTGTGTTCAGAAAATATAGTTGATAAGATTTCTGCTTTTTTGAATCTGTTGAGACTTATTTTGTGGCCTGAAATATGGTCTTCTGGAGAATGTTCCATGTGCTGATAAAAAGAATGTATTTTGCAACAGTTAGGTAAAATGCTAACTCTGATGTTTCTTTGCTGAATTTCTGTCTAGATGATCTGCCCATTACTGAGAATGGGGTGTTGAAGTCCCCTATTATTACTATATTGCAGTCTACTCTCCTTTTAGATCTATTAATGTTTGCTTTATATAATTGGGTGCTCTGGTGTTGGGTGCATAGCTATTTATGATTGTTATATCCTCTTTTTGAACTGAGTTCTTTTTATCATTATAGAATGACTTTCATCATCTCTTTTTACAGTCTCAGACTTGTCTGTTTTATCTGATATCAGCATAGCTACTCCTGCTCTTTTTTAGTTTTCACTTGCATGGGATATCTTTTCTATCTCTTACTTTCAGTTCTTATGTGTCTTTATAGGTGAAGTTGGTTTCTTGTAGGCAACATATAGTTCAGTCTTGTTTCTTCATCTATTCAGCCACTCTATGGCTTTTAATTGGTGAATTGAGTCCAGTTATATTCAGTGTTATTAATGATAAGTAAGGACTTACTATTGCCATTGTATTGCTGGTCTTCTGGTTGTTTGGAACTCCTCTCTTCCTTTCTTTATTTCTTACTGTCTTCCTTTTTGGTTAAATTATTTTCTCTGGTAGTATATTATAATTCATTACTTTTTTGTTTTTAGTGTATCTGCTGCAGATTTTTGCATTGTAGCTACTCTGGCATTTAAAAAAAAATCTTATAGATATAACAAGTTATTTCAAAGAGATGATAACTAATTTTAAATCTTGAAAAAGAATAGAAACAAATGAAGAAAAAACCAAAAGTTTATATTTTAACTTCATCTCCCCACATTTTGATCTTTCATTGTCTCAATTTACATCTTTTTATATTGCCCATCTCTCACCAGGTTGCTGTTGCTGTTATTGTTTTTGATAGATTAGTCTTTTAGGCTTCATACCAAAGTTATGAGTGGATTGCATACCACAACTACAGTATTGGAGTATTATGGAGTTACCTTTGTGCTTAATTTTACCAGTGGGTTTTATACCTTCAAACATTTTCTTTTTTCACATTAGTATTTTTTTTCAGACTTAAGAACTCCCTTTAGCATTTCTTATAAGTCAGATCTGGTGGTGGTGAATTCTCTCAGCTTTCATTCATCTGAAAAAACTTTATCTCTTTTTCATATTTGAAGGATAGCTTTGCTAAATACAGTATTCTTGGATGGCAAGCTTTGCTAAATACAGTATTCTTAGATGGCAAGTTTTTTTCTTTTAGCACTTTGAAACTGCCATCCCACTCCCTCCTGGCCTGTATCGCTTCTGTTGAGAAGATTGTTGCCTGATGAATTGGAGTTCCCTTATATATTATCTGTTTCTTTTCTGTTTCTTCTTTTAGGATCCCCTTTTTCCTCAACCTTTGAGAATTTGATTATATGCCTTGGGGTGGTCTCATTAGATTAAATCTGTTTGATGTTCTCTAACCTTCTTGTAACTGAATATTTATATCTTTCTTAATTTCTGAAAAGTTTTCTGTTTTTGTTTCTTTGAATAAACTTTCTACCCTCTTGTCTTTTTCAACTCCCTCTTGAATACCAATAGTTTTTGGATTCGGTCCTTGGAGATAATTTGCTATATCTCGTAGGCAATCTTCATTCCTTTTCATTCTTTTTTCTTTTCCTCTTCTGACTGTAATGTCAAATAGACTGTCTTCAAGTTCACTGATTCTTCCTTCTGATTGATCCATTCTGCTGTTGAGAACCTCTAATTAATTTTTTAGTTTATCAAACATATTTCTCAGTCTAAGATTTCCATTTGATATTTTTTATTATTTCAATTTCTGTTGTATTTCTCCAATAAATTTCTGAATTGATTTTTTGTGTTATGGTGTAATTCACTGAGTTTTCTTAAAAGTACTATTTTGAATTCTAGGTCAAAGAGCTCACAAGTTTCCATCTTCTTTCTGTCCAATGCTGGTTCTTTGCTTTGTTCATCTAGGGAGGTCATGGTTTTCTGCTGTTGTTTTTGTGGAGATAAATATATGTATTTGCATTAAAAGGTTAGTTATTTATTACTATCTTCTCTGTCTTGCTTTTTGTTGTTGGTGGTGGGTGTTGTATATGTTTGCTTAGAGGTTCTTAGTAATTTACCTGTTGAATTTCTTAATTTTTTTTTTCTGCTAGGTCACTGTCAGCATTAGATGGCACTTTAAGCCCAGATTTGCCTTGGCTCTAGCACACAATCAGAGCGCTGTTCCTCCAGAATGTGGGAGGTCCCAAAGGGCATATTGCAGCAGTATGAGAAGGCTGGTTAGGGATTTGTGTCCATGGGACCTGTGGAACATACTTCCTACAGCCTGGTGGTGCTGAACAGCCACTCTGATTTGGTGTCTCTTTTGCCTGAGTTACGGACCAGGGTTTCCAGGGCTGGATGGAAGTCTCACCTTC
This sequence comes from Homo sapiens, assembly GCF_000001405.40. Taxonomy (NCBI): domain Eukaryota; kingdom Metazoa; phylum Chordata; class Mammalia; order Primates; family Hominidae; genus Homo; species Homo sapiens. The sequence continues at coordinate 147,481 of NW_003315959.1, forward strand.
CTCCTTTTTCTCTTGATGTCCTCGGAGATATTTTTCCCTTCAGGCACTCATGATGCTGCCCATGTGTTGAGGCAGAAACAGGTCTCCTGCCAGTAAACCCAAGATAGTGGGGAAGCTGATTGTCCACCTCAATCTTACTTTTTCCAGTGTAGAAACCATGAGTCAGAAGAAATTTTCTGCATGCTTGGTGCTGGGCAGATGTAGGGGAGGGGTCTTGCAGATATGGAAATCCAATTCTTTTACCATCTGCTCAGAGTTTTTTTCACTTCTCCATGGCCCCAGGAACTGACTCATTTTCATATTTGAGTTCTGGGATATTGCTGGTGATCATCTTGGCATTGTATATTTGTTTTTGGTTTTCTGTGGTGGCAGCCAGCTTGTGTTTACAACACCATTTTGGAACTGAAATTATGTTCAATTAATTATTAAAAATTAATTATCTTAGATTCAGACTGGTACATAGAACGCTTGCTCTACTTTCAATAATACAAGTATATATTTTGTACTATAGATATCATTAATATTGACACTTCTATCTGAAAAGCTTTTTACATCTTTGATTTTACAATCAGTGGTTAAACTGTCAACCAACTGGTAGTTCTGATGTAATTGGTATTGCCTATTCATGCATTAACTTGGTTGTAAATGTTCCATTATTATTACTGCAATTAAATTGAATCATTTGTTTAGGCCCGAAATGAAAGACAATGTACTAGAAGACCAAAAGTGCTATATAGAACACTTTTAATTTTTTTTTTGGTTCAATTAGACAAATATTTTTTATGACTTCACAAATTTTGAATTACAACCAGAAAGATCTTCCCAAAACTAAGATTAAAAAATATTTCCACAATTTTTCTTTTTATTTTTATGGTTTCATTTCTTATCCTTAAATTTATAATCTGTTCAGAGTTTATTCTGCTATTCTATCATTTTCCCCAGTGATTTATTGTATTAATCTGTTATCACATTGCTATAAATAACTACCTGAGACTGGGTAATTTAGAAAGGAAAGACTGGGTAATTGACTCACAGTTCCACATGGCTAGGGAAGCCTCAGGAAACTTACAATCATGGCAGTACGGGACACAAACACTTCCTTCTTCACATGGCAGCTGGAGAGAGAAGTGCTGACCAAGGGGGAGAAAGCCCCTTACAAAACTATCTGATCTCCTGAGAACTCATCACTCACTATCACAAGAACAGCATGGGGCTAATCCCCTCCACGATTCAATTACCTCTCACAGGGTTCCTCCCATATCACATGGGGATCATGGGAACTGCAATTCAAGATGAGTTTTGAGTGGAAACACAGCCAAAACATATCATTTATTATACTGAAATATTGTATTCTAAATTTGCTCATATTCATTTTAAACTATTTCTAGGTTTTCAATCATTTTCCTTTGGTTTATTCATCAATTTATGCACTGTTAACCCACTATTATAATTATTGTGGCTTAATAATAAATTTTCATGCATATCAAAGCTATTTTCCTCTCATTTTTCTTCTTTTTTCAAAATTTTTCCAGCTATACTTTTTTTTTGGAGACAGAGTCTTACTCTGTCACCCAGCCTGGAGGTCAGTGGTGCCATCTCCGCTCCCAGCAACTTCTGCCTCCGGTATTCAAACAATTCTCATGCCTCAGCCTCCTGAGTAGCTGGAAATACAGGTGTGCACCACTATATCTGGTCAATTTTTTGAATTTCTAGTAGAGACAGTATTTCACCATTTTGAAACCAGATGGGGTTGCCCAAGCTGGTCTTGAACTCCTGAGCTCAGGTAATTCACCCACCTCAGCTTCCCAAAGTGCTAGGATTACAGGCAAGAGTAACCGCACCCAGCCCTAGCTATACTTATTTTTCAGTTTCCCATATGAGCTTTAAAAGTGTCTTGTCTATTTCAGTAAACAATTCATAATGCTGAGCTACTTTACATTTAAAATTAACATGAGATCATTGATATTGTTATAACATTGATTCTGCCTATACAAGGACATGTGTGTGACAAAGATAGTCACCAAAATAGTTTCACTGTTGCTGCTGGAAAGTAGCTGCCCAGCTATGGACTACATTTTCCAGCCACCCTTTATCTAGGTGGGGTCATGTGACTAGTTTTTACCAGCGGAAGGTGAACAGATATATTGTGTCACTTCCAGGCCAAGGTATTCACAAAGAGGGTGTCTGTGCCATGTTCTCTTTCTCCCATCTGCAATCTGGAGGTGGACAACCAGGCAGTTCTAGGAGATAGAAAATCAACAAGATGGAAGGAGTCTGGGTCCATAAATCACTCATGGATGACCACCCTCCTACAATGGATACCTGCCTCAGATTGTTACATGAACAAGAAATTAATTTTAATATACTTACCTTACTATACATTTTAGGCTCAACTTTTTTATGCCCAGTAGCACAAATATAATTAATAGACTATCAAATTTCTTTCCATTTGTTCCATTGTTCCTTTATGTCTTTTAGAACTGCTGCAAAGTTTTTTTCCTATAGATTGTACACATTTATTATTTTTATTCATAAGTATTTTCCCTTTATAGTTACTCTTGTAAATGGAGTATTTCTTCCATTATATGTTCTAACTAGAAGTTGTTTGTGTATATGAAAGCTATGAATTTCTTATACAAAAATCAATTCAAGATGGATTAAAGACTTAAACGTTAGACCTAAAACCATAAAAACCCTAGAAGAAAACCTAGGCAATACCATTCAGGACATAGGCATGGGCAAGGACTTCATGTCGAAAACACCAAAAGCAATGGCAACAAAAGACAAAATTGACAAATGGGATCTAATTAAACTAAAGAGCTTCTGCACAGCAAAAGAAACTACCATCAGAGTGAACAGGCAACCTACAAAATGGGAGAAAATTTTTGCAACCTACTCATCTGACAAAGGGCCAATATCCAGAATCTACAATGAACTCAAACAAATTTACAAGAAAAAAACAAACAACCCCATCAAAAAGTGGGCAAAGGACATGAACAGACACTTCTCAAAAGAAGACATTTATGCAGCCAAAAAACACATGAAAAAATGCTCATCATCACTGGCCATCAGAGAAATGCAAATCAAAACCACAATGAGATACCATCTCACACCAGTTAGAATGGCAATCATTAAAAAGTCAGGAAACAACAGGTGCTGGAGAGGATGTGGAGAAATAGGAACACTTTTACACTGTTGGTGGGACTGTAAACTAGTTCAACCATTGTGGAAGTCAGTGTGGCGATTCCTCAGGGATCTAGAACTGGAAATACCATTTGACCCAGCCATCCCATTACTGGGTATATACCCAAAGGATTATAAATCATGCTGCTATAAAGACACATGCACACGTATGTTTATTGCGGCACTATTCACAATATCAAAGACTTGGAACCAACCCAAATGCCCAACAGTGATAGACTGGATTAAGAAAATGTGGCACATATACACCATGGAATACTATGCAGCCATAAAAAATGATGAGTTCATGTCCTTTGTAGGGACATGGATGAAATTGGAAATCATCACTCTCAGTAAACTATCACAAGAACAAAAAACCAAACACCGCATATTCTCACTCATAGGTGGGAATTGAACAATGAGATCACATGGACACAGGAAGGGGAACATCACACTCTGGGGATTGTTGTGGGGTGGGGGGAGGGGGGAGGGATAGCATTGGGAGATATACCTAATGCTGGATGATGAGTTAGTGGGTGCAGTGCACCAGCATGTCACATGTATATATATGTAACTAACCTGCACAATGTGCACATGTACCCTAAAACTTAAAGTATAATAATAAAAGAAAAAAAAAAGAAAAGAAAAGAAAGCTATGAATTTCTGTGTGCTATTTTTTTACTCCACTATTTTATTGAATATTCTTACTCTTTGTTGCGTATTTCTGTTTCTTACCTTAGATTATTCATCATATCAACTCCAACTTTTCATAGGTTTATTTTTTGTTTCTAGCTTTCTAATTTCTTTTCTAATTGTGTTGGTGAATACCAGCAGTAACTAATGTTACCTAGTAATTATGTAATCATGTTTAGTTTCTGACTTCAGAGGAATTATCTCTAGTATTTCCCTCATTAAACATACCGTTGACTTTGGGCTAAGATAGGTATATTTTATTACGTTGAAAATTGATATTTTTTGCTGTTTTGAGCAATAATAATTGTTGAATGTTATCAACATTTTCAGTGTCTGTTTTGCTCCTTCAGTCAATTATAATGGTACATTATTTCATTTTTCTAATACTGAGGACCTTGCATTCCTAGAAAATAAATCTATTTCCTCAGATATATGAATCTTTTAATGAGGTACTGAATTCTGCTTATTTGTGATTTACTTGGGATAGTTAATCTTCATATGTGGTATTTTTCTATAACTTTCTTTTCAGTACAGTCTTTATCAGGCTTTGACAGCAATAGTTTATTCACTTCATTAAAAATATGGATTTTTTTATTTTTGTTCTTGAAGAATTGAAATGTTCTTTAAAGATTTGATTGAATTCCTCTATATGAAAAACTGAATCTAGTGTGTTTACCTATTTCTTCTGTTCAAATTAACAAAATTATAAGTTTTATCTCTTCTGGGGTCAATTTTGATCAATTATTTTTCCTAGAAAATAACTGACTTAAATGAAATTTTCAAAATTATTTACATGAAGTTGGGTAAAACATAGGTAGATTTAAATTTTTCTATAATTATGTAGTTATTTCCCTTTTTCATTTTCTTATTTTATATATTTTGCTTACCTGTCTCTTCTCCTGAAATAGATATTTTTCTCTTTGTTTAGATTACCTGTTACCTTATTTATTCTATTATTTTGTAAAGTGCCAGCTTTTGGAAGTAGCTTAAGTTTGTGATTTTCAGTTTTCCAATTGATTAATTTCCAATTTTACTTACAATAATTTCTTCTTTATGCTTTTCCTCAGTGTAGTTTATTGCTGTTTTACTAACTTTTTGAATTGGATATCTAACTTATTTTATTCATGCATACTTATTGATATAAATATTTAAAACTGTGAATTTTCTTTTCCTCACTTCTTTGCCTATATTTTACATGTCAAGTTGTTTGAATCACTGTGTATTAATTATTGTTAAGAAATTATGATATTTTGATTATATGACATTATTGCTGGAGAAGTTGAATAAGAGAACTTTTAAAAAATCCCAGTTAGAAGGCACATTTTATTATTTGATTTTGTTGTTAAGCTTTATTCTTATTACATTGTGAAAAATGACTGTGTCTGCATTACCTCCTGGAACATATTGAGATTTTTCTCTATTGACCTATTCTATAGTTAAGTTTTTTAAATATCCCCTAGAAACATGGAAGAAATGTGCGTTCTCTATTTTCAAAGTATAGTTTGAGATACATCCATCTTATCTACCTGTGAATCATACTATTTTGTTTCCCACAATGTTCCACTTCCTCTATCAAAGATTGAAAGAGGTGAATTAAAGTCCCTTAGTGCTTGTGTTTCTTCTTTCCTTTTTATTTATCTCTTGTAATTTGTACTTTATAACGTGAGTGCCATTGGTATTTGATGTGTAGATAAGCATAATTATTAAAGACTCATGAGGTGCACACTATAGGATAAAACTGCCTTTCGTTATATTAAATCCTTATTTTTGCCTAAATTCTACTATTTTTAATGTTAAGACTCTTGCTTGTTTACTTTTTTTTCTTGTTTCTTTTCTTGTTTGTTTTATTTTGTTTCGTCAGTTTTTATCTTATTTTGTTTGGTTGGTTGGCTTTGTTTTTTGTTTTGTTGCATTTTTTAGCACAACTTTACTCAAACCTCTAATTTTCAATTTTACAGAATTACTTTGTCTTATGTTTTCTATATACCATACAGTTTGGTTTGTTTTTCTGATCCACTTCGAAATTCCTTCTTCTGAGAAATGAGTTAAGTTCCCTTCATCAATTAATATAAGAAATACGTTCATCTTATATCTACCATTTAGTTTTATGGGGTTTTTTTGGTTTTGTTTTTTGTTGTGTTTTGTTTTGTTTGAGAAGGAGTCTTGCTCTGTCACCCAGGCTGGAGTGCAGTGACACAACATTGGCTCACTGCCACCTCTGCCTCCCTGGTTCAAGCAATTCTCCTGCCTCAGCCTCCTGAGTAGTTGGGATTACAGGAGTGCACCACCACACCCAGCTAATTTTTTATATTTTTGGTAGAGACAGGGTTTCACCATGTTGGCCAGGCTGGTCTCGAACTCCTGACCTCAAGTGATCCGCCTGCCTTGCCCTCCCAAAGTGCTGGGATTATAGGTGTGAGCCACTACACCCAGCCTAGTTTTGTGTTTTTTTTTCTCTCTTTTTTCTGAGATTTTCTTTTATTGTGTAGTATTTTTTTTGCTTGAATTTTTGGGTATATTTATTCTGATATAGAAAAATGTTATGTATAATTGTACATAATCCCCTTTGTTCTTTGTTTCTTTAAACCATACATATTAATTTATTATTCTGAACAATGATAAAATTAGCACATTTCCTCTTCTCTGACCACCTATGTTTTAGGTAACAATATTATCTTTCTTAATGTTTATCTTTGTACACTTAAGTATGCCAATTCTCCTAATACCTTCGATTTTAAAAAATGGCCTTTGCCTAATATTTAGTGGAACTGTCAGCAAAACTATTCTACTACTCATCTTCTTTCTAACATCCTTCAATTGTTTGTTAGTTATAGCACTCCTACATGGTCTGAACACATGAGACTTAGAATTCATTTCTCTAATCTCCAAGTTTGTATTAGTGTTAATTCTAGAGTGAAATATATTCAATGTTTCCTGCCTTTTGTTTTAATCTTCCTAGTTATCCCTCAGCTAACATAAGTTTATCCTCTAAAAGATTCATCAGAAAGGGCTCATAAAAACTGCATTTCCTTAGTTCCTGAATATTCATAATTTTTGTACTGTTAAATTAAGTTTAGCTTAAAGCTGCCTGTTACATGTTTTAAGTTTGGCCCAAAGGTTTCTTCGTACATAGTGAACTGTAACCTAACTGGATATGTAAACTGACTATCCATTCTTGTACCAATAACAGAGTTTTGGTCAATCAAGGATGACCAACTGTTCAAACTATGTTCAAATAGGGCAAATGCCTGCTGTAATCAATCCCAGCTATTTCAGCACTTTGGTTCTGTTTTCTGTCCATAAATCCTCTCTAGCCGAGTGACAACGCCAGAGTCATTCTGAATCTATTCTGGCTGTGGGGAGAGGGATTGGCTGATTCTCAATTTGTTCTCTGCTCAGTTAAACTCTGTTAAATTTAATTTGCCTAAAGTTTTCCTTTTAATAGTCTATAGCTTGTATACTTGGACAGTTTTGCCGCATAGAAAATTCATAACATATTTTCTCTCCTTGACTTTTTTTTTTTTAAGATTTTCACTGTTACACTTTGACATGAAATTCTGCTGTAGAGGAATTTGAGAACTGACTAATTCCTTTATACGAACTTTTGAAAATGTTTTAAAATATTTACACCTCACAGATTTACTTGGTTATATTTCAGTATTGATCATTCTAGGTCTATGTTTTCTATCATGTGGTGTGAACTTTTGACATAGCTATTTAAGTCATTTTTTTTTTTTTTTAATGTAATCTCACTCTGTTGCCCAAGCTGGAGTGCAGTGGCGTGATCTCAGCTCACTGCAACCTCTGCCTCCCAGCTTCAAGCAATTTTCCTGCCTCGGCCTCCCAAGTAGCTGGGACTACAGGCACCTAACACCATGCCAGGCTAATTTTTGAATTTTTAGTAGAGACAAGGTTTCACCATGTTTTTGACCAGACTGGTCTCAAACTCCTGACCTCAAGTGATTGACCTGCTTCGGCCTCCCAAAGTGCTGGGATTACAGGCGTGAGCCACCACACCCAGCCTTTAAGTCATTTTTATTTAGATAAAATTTTATTAAATTACATTTTTTTTTTTGAGACGGAGTTCCACTCTTGTTACCCAAGCTGGAGTGCAACGGCACAATCTTGGCTCACTGCAACCTCCGCCTCCTGGGTTCAAGCGATTCTCCTGCCTCAGCCTCCCAAGTAGCTGGGATTACAGGCATGGACCACAATGCCTGGCTAATTTTGTATTTTTTTCTTTTTTAGTAGAGATGGGGTTTCTCCATTTTGGTCAGACTGGTCTTGAACTCCCAACCTCAGGTGATCAGCCCACCTTTGCCTCCCAAAGTGCTGGGATTATGGGCATGAGCCACTGCACCCGGCCTTAAATTTTTTTTTCACTTTTCCATTTTTAAAAATTTTCATCTTAGAGACACCAATTATGCCAATGTTGAATCTCCTTTGCCATTCTTTTCTAATTACAGCAAAATATATATGCCTCTACATATTTTTAAAAATTACATTTATTTTTACAATTTCTCTCATTTCTTCCTCTATGTCCTTTATTGTGTTTTTCATGAAACATGTCATCCACTGTGTTTCTTACAATTTTGTTTTCGTTTCTTTGATGGCTATTTTTCTACTTTCTAAGATGTGACCCCTCATACTTTGTGTTCTCATATTATCTTGCCATCTCTTTCTTGCATTCTTACTTTTTTTTTTAATTCTTTATTTGTAGAGGTGATACTTTGTGTATGTTTTTCTTTCAATGTGCAGTAAAATATTTGGTCACAATGTTTTTCTACTCTATGGAAACATTTTTTTCCAGTCAATATTCATCCTTTGTTAGCAGTTTTGATGCTCTTTTGCTTCATTTATTCTTAAAGTACCTTTATGTTTATTTAGTACTTGGTCTCATTTTTCTTGGTTATCATTGAATCCCTGGGCTGGCTATTTGCAGGAAGCCCTTTTAATCTGGGGAGGAGTGTTCTTTATGGGAGAGGGGCTGACTAGCAGATATTTACAATGCAATCTGTGATGCTGCAGAAAAGATAAATTCTTGCAAATGTGGCTCATAGGTACAATTTTTTTCATTTTTTAAATTTAAGTTTTAATGTGTTTCAAAAATTGACAGTGTAAGCATCATGTACAACATTAATGTTTTGAGGTATACAGACATTCTGGAATGCTTACATCTAGCTAACAAATTTATTACCTCACATAGTTATCATTGTTGTGGTGACAACACTTATCCACTCTCTCTGCAGTTTTTGAGACTATATCGTCATTAACTATAGCCACCTTGTTGAAGGTACAATTCTGGATGAGGTCCCTGTCCCCTGCTTTCCTCTACCAAATTCATTCTGTGACAGCTTCTGCCAGCATCTCTGCTTAAACCTGTTCCCACATCCAGTGTCGTAAACAAAGAATCTAGTATCTGCTCTCCTGGGCATATCTCTCACCTTCAGGAAATGCTGGTACATTCTGAAATAGCTGCCCCCCTACCCCCACTTCTCCATGGCTCTGCTCTTCACTTCTTGCATCATTTCTTCCTGCTCTCAGTCACTTTTAGTAACCCTTAACACATTCTTTTCAGATCTGGTGAATTATATATGCTTAGATTTTTTTTAATTTTGAGGAACGGATTTTGATATGTTCCAAAATGATAACAATAAATGTCAGTTTATAAAGTCCTATTCATTCCGGGGCCTATAGGATAGCCTTTTAACCAAATCCTCTATCTCCTTTCTCTGCCCCCCGTCAGTCCATCTTATATGTTGGCATTATGTGCTAATCTTTTGAAACACAGGTCTTTCTAAAGATCAGCTTATCTGTCTACTCAAAAGTATGTAGAATCCTACTGAACTCAAACTCTTTTTTTTTTTTTTTTTTTTGAGACAGAGTCGCTCTGTCGCCCAGGCTGGCGGGCAGTGGCGGGATCTCGGCTCACCGCAAGCTCCGCCTCCCGAGTTCACGCCATTCTCCTGCCTCAGCCTCCCGAGTAGCAGGGACTACAGACACCCACCACCTCGCCTGGCTAATTTTTTGTATTTTTTAGTAGACACGGGGTTTCACCGTGTTAGCCAGGATGGTTGCAATCTCCAATCTCCTGACCTCGTGATCCGCCCGCCTCGGCCTCCCAAAGTGCTGGGATTACAGGCGTGAGCCACCGCGCCCAGCTGAACTGAAACTCTTTAACCTGCCATGCAAAGCTGCCTGACATATGGCTCTCACCTAAGCTTGCAGCAGCCTTGCTCACTATGTCTGCTCTCCTACTCTGTGTTCCCCATTCAGTCTCTTCTTGCAGACTTCTTTATTTTGTGCTTGCCATTTCTTAATGCAAAAATCTCTTCCTCTCCTTTTATCTTTATATGAATACATCCTACCACTGAACCCTCAGCTGAAATAATTTTTGTCTTGCTCTATACTTTTCCGTACTTACCGTAGAGTCTTTGTCTTTTCTCTGACATTATCGTGATATTCACATTTATTGTCTTTTCTCCTACCACAAAGTCTCCAGAGAAGACAATCCTGCCTGATACATCTTAGTTTCCCACAAAACATTCAGCACAATGAAAATACTCCATAAATATTTTCATAAATATTTGCATAAACATGTGCTGAATGCATGGACACAGGGCAGGGAACATCACACACTGGGGCCTGTTGGGGGGTGGGGGGCTGGGGGAGGGATAGCATTAGGAGATATACCTAATGTAAATGACGAGTTGATGGGTGCAGCAAACAAACATGGCACATGTATATCTATGTAACAAACCTGCACATTGTGCACACGTACCCTAGAACTTAAAGTATAATAAAAAAAAAAAAATGTGTTGAATGAATGAGGTCACTCTCAGTATTTAATAAGAATAAAAATAAATACTGCCTTAAAGATTAATCATTCTGCTGGGCTTCGGGGACATCATCCTTCTATACTGTAAGGAACTGTCATCTTACTGTGATTTTGTCTTTTCATGAAATAGAATTTTTAAAGGAACCACCTATTACTGAGGGTGCCAATTAATTGAGCTCCAGCTATCCGAGGTTTACCAGGTCTACATAGATGATCTATTACAGAATTCCCTTCCCACTTCCCCGGTCATGCCCTCTCCTGCCCTGCCTGATTCCTAATCCTGTCAAAGCCTGACCTAGGTCTATCCTTCCCTGAACGCTTCCCCAGCTGTAGGGAATTAATATTGAGTTCTGCTTGTGCGAGGCACTGTTGTATTCCAAGACACAGGGATAGGTTTTCCTATGAACTCTCAGAGCAAATTTGTTGACATGATGTACTTAGCAGAAACTACCTTTTGTGTTACTGGATTGACTAAATTTCTTATCGTCTCTAGTAGACTGGATTTTTCCTTGAGGAAAGGGATGATATTGTACATCTGTTATTTTAAACCCTAATAACTGGATCATATCCAGTAGTATTACTATAAGGCTTCCAAGCACCTCAGTCAGCTCAGCCCTACAGGTAGCTTCTTCAGAGACAGCCACCATGTAAAACCCAGCCACAGCATCTCACACACATACCAGTTCTGATATCCTCCTTTAAAGACAAGCCTGCCACCAGCTGTTTTCCTCTGAGCTTTGATCGCTAAGCCTCAGGGTGGGTGAGCATTTTTTGAGGCTGCCAATCCAAGCTTTGTCCACCATGTAATGGACATGAATACTGAACTGGTGTTGCTGTACTGGGTTCTAGTAAACAAAGGGTATCAGCTGGTCACACCATTCTGACCACGATGAGGACCAGGAAAAAATAAAATGGCAGAATTTATCCCTAAAGCAAGTGTGTATATGTGTGTGTGTTTCTGTGTGTGTGATAAAATAATGACCCCCCCACCGCCCCCCCACCCGACAGGTTATAATGCCTATCCTTGTATAGTGTTGCTTGCCAAGGTCCCAGAGGGAAAGAATAAGTTGTAATTGTACAAAATTCAATAGAACCCCAAACATGACAGTACACGAAATCTGCACATGAATTAGAAAGCATAAGTCATGTGCGTTCTCCGGCGGCGGTAGCAGGGCAAATTTTCCCATCAATGAAAGTAAAAATAAAGCTAAGCTATGAGCGCCACCTCGTGGAGAAATCTCTCACTGCACTAACCTCTTCCACTGAGGGGCCAGGTGGAAATGCCAGGGGCGGGGTGCACCCCTGGATGTGATCATCTGCTGTTGCTCATACTCCATCTCACCCACGACATTAGGCCACTTCCTTGGCACACAGGGAATTGGGGGTAGTTGCCTTAGTCCTCGCCCTCTGATGTGAACAGCAGTTGATACAAGACAGTGACACCGGGATAGCTGGTGTGATGCTGTTAGCTGGTACAACAAAAACAAAAGCCCTGATGCACACTCATGAGTATATGTACCATTCACACACTCATACAGAGGACCCCGATGCACATTCATGAGTGTATGTATTACTCACACATTCATACAAAGGACCCCGATGCACATTTATGAGTGTGTGTATCACTCACACATTTATCCATAGGATCCCGACGCACATTCATGAGTGTGTGTATCACTCACAGACTCATACATAGGATCCCAACCCACATTCATGAGCATATGTATCATTCACATTCATCCATAGGACCCTGATGCACATTCATGAGTGTATGTATCACTCACACATTCATACATAGGATCCCAACGCACATTCATGAGCGTATGTATCACTCACACATTCATCCATAGGACCCCGATGCACATTCATGAGTGTATGTATCACTCACACATTCATACATAGGACCCCGATGCACATTCATGAGTGTGTGTATCAGTCACACACTCATACACAGGACTCCGAGGGACCCTTCTCCCTTCCCCGTGTCCTGACAAGTGAGACGCTCTGTACTCTCCTTTTTCGAACTTCATTGCCTTTTCAGGACTTCCCTTTGCCCTTGAAGGACATTGTGACCCATGCAAATTCTGGGATGGGACTGGCTGTAAATCCTACAGCAGATAGTAGCCAGTAGGATCTGTCCTGGTACTGGCAACGTGGCAACGGTCTAAGGATATCCCTGGCAAGTTGTGTCATTCACCGAGTTTACTTTCTATCCTAGGCAGTGACATGGACTTAAATTTGTCACGCGAGTTTGAATTGCTAGTCAAGACTGAAAGAGAGGCTGGAACTGGACTCCTGGGTTCAATCTTCAAAGCGTTTCTGTCTAGCAGCTGCCATTTCAGACAAGCTCCTCGGTGAGGGAATCAATGAGACAGCATTTATCTTCCTGACAGAATGGCCCCCTGTGAGGCTGTTTGCTTTTGTGCTGGCACTGCAGCTGAGGAAGATACGGCTTAGATCCAGGCCCTGCCTCAGTGTCTTCGCAAAGGGACAGATTTTCCTCACCACAGTGACCACACTGAAGCCACTGACAGGGCAGGAGCCTTGGGGTTGCAGGTCCGGCAGCGGGACAGAGGTTCTCAGCAGAGGCCAGACTTGAGAGAGCTGCATGCTGTTCAGGCGGGAGCCTTGTCTTTGTGAGCTGGAGCTGTTGGCTGCCTGCCATTTGTACAGCCAGAAGGAGTGTGTGTCTGTGGGAAATGCATCCGCAGAGTCAGGCAGACCTGGATTACATCTTGGAGCAGATGCTACCAACCCTGTAACCTTTCTTAACTCACTTCACCTCCCTGGGTCTCATAGTTGCCATCTATACAATGGGGATAATACTGCTTCCCTCATGGGATTATTATAAGATCTAATGAATACAACAGTGCCTCGCACAAGCAGGACTCAATATTAATTCCCTACAGTTTTATCTTTGGAAAATAAGAAAACAACTATTTGTGTTTGTGTATGTCTGTGTTTATAATTTTTTGCATACGCTTAATAACAATGAAAATGTATTTCTTTGGACACCACAACTTTTTAAAACTAAAGCGCATTGTTTTATTTTAGATTATTTAAAGAAATTAGCACTTAGATACCATGTTTTCACAATTTTTTCTTTTAGTACTTTAAAGATACTATGTGATCCCTATGAAACATAAGTACAACTGGATATTTTACAAACTAGGAAATCTTTTTGCAACCAATCTTATTTGTTTTTCAGATAATACTCCATCAGTAAATAAGTCTTTGCCATTGGTAATTTTTTATTTCCTGCAAGGCAGAGTTATTTTTTCTTGGTAACAGAAACATTTATTAAACACTTAGATGTGTTAGGCAGTGTTCTGCTTTTTTGTGTTTTCTAAATTTATTTTAGAAACAAAATTTACTGTTCTTGGTATACAGTTTTATGAATGTTGACAAATGCATAGTGTCACAGACCCAGCATCACAATTGATACAGAATATTTCTATCACCTTCCACAAAAAAATTCATTCTTGCTATTCCTTTGTAGTCAACCCTCCCTCACTGTCAGCCTCTGGCAACCACTGGTGCATTCTCCACTGCTCCAGTTTGCCTTTCCCATCGTGTCATATCAGTGGAATCATACTCTATGTATTTTTGGGGTGCCTCTTCTTTCACCTAACGTAATGCATTTGAGATTCACCCATGTGGTTGGATGTATCAGTGATTCACTCCTCTTCATTGAGGGTGATGTCAGAACCAGAGTAAGAACCATGTTTCTCCATTCCCCTGTGCCCTTTTTCTAGCTTGATGCAGAGGCAAAAGCAAACTAACAGAATCCTTAAGAGGCTTATGTACAGGTGGACCATACTGAGGCTCTTCAGGATATCAAAACAAACTAAATGGTCCTTGGCTTCAGGAAAGTGATCATCCCATTGGCTGGTGGGCACACAGCCAGCTGTATCACATCAGGAAGAGAAACCAGGCAGCCTCCTACCAGTGAGGAGATGAGCACAAGTCTCAAAATAGAACACTGGCGTTTGGAGACAAAGGAAAATCACTGGATGTCAAGGGAGTCTTCATGGGGAAAGTGAGTTTACGTGAGCTTGAAAGTAGAGGAAGCTCTGGGCAGGTGGGAAGGACTCCAGGGAGAACAGTATGTGCCAAGACTGGAGAACAGGGCAGGGAATTCCCGCTTGAGGCAGATAGGATCTGGATGCAAGGAAAGAAAGGCAGTCAGTGTGGCTGGAGCACCATGAGTGGGGGGAGACTGGCAGGAAATAAGGAGGAAGCCAGAGACCAGATGAAAGGGCTATGAGGCCCCTACAAGGACTTTAGATTTACTCTGAGGGTGAGGGAGCTGCCAGAGGCGTCCGAGCAGGAGAGGAACACATCTAAGGTATTAATAAGATCACTCTGGCCATGGCTCTGTGAACACTATGAAGGAACCAGAGGCAGACTTGGGACCAAACAGGAGGCTTTTACTCAATCCAAGTGATAGATGATAATGCCAGAAATTGGAGGTAAAGGTAGTCACAGGTGATCAGAATCTGGATAGATTTTGCAGGTAGAATCAAGAGAATTTTCTAAAATAGGCAACTGGAAGTCCAGAATTGACATTGAGATAAGATTCAAGTGAGAAGACTGGAGAGGAAATCTGAGTCCAAACAGGAGGTGCTGAAGATTTGAGACCTGATCCTTACACTGAGGGAACACTGCTGCAGATTTTAAAAAGGACTCTGCATTTTTGAAAGGTCATTCTGGAAATGGTGGGGGCTGAATTAGAGGAGAGCGAGATGAGAATCAGGGAGGCCAATTAAGATGCTGTAGCTATAGCCCAGGTGGGAAAGGCTTCCCAAGAGCAGTGGCAAAGACAGGAGCAGAGGCGCCAGAATCACCAGGGAGGGAGAACTGGCAGAGCTGGCAAGTAATGGAGATATTGGGGAAGACAGAAAATGGCTTTTGGGGTATAAAATCAGTAGGTAACTTTGTACTGTGTTGAGCTGAAAATGCCTCTTAAACATCTCTTTGGAGATGTTGAGTAGAATCAGGGGAGAGGTGAGGGCTGGGAATATCAACTAGGGTGTCATCTGTGTATCAGTGAACAAGCACAGGCGCATACAAGATGGGTCAGAGAGGGAAGACAGTGAAGGCAGAGTGCCATCAGCATGCCAGGCAGAGGGCCAGGCATGCAGAGAGGGAGGTCTGGGCTTGGAATAGAAGGAAAAGAGATTCTTAAAGGTTGTTTAGGCTGGGCGTGGTGGACTTTACATTTACTCTGAGGGTGGCCAAGGTGGGCGGATAGGAGGCTGAGGTGGGCAGATCAAGAGGTCAGGAGATCAAGACCATCCTGGCTAATAAAGTGAAAACCCCGTCTCTACTAAAAATACAAAAAATTAGCCGGGCGTGGTGGCGGGCACCTGTAGTCCCAGCTACTCCAGAGGCTGAGGCAGGAGAATGGCATGAACCCAGGAGGCGAAGCTTGCAGTGAACTGAGATGGCACCACTGTACTCCAGCCTGGGTGACAGAGTGGGACTCCGTCAAAAAAAAAAAAAAAAAAAAAAGGGTTGTTTAAAGGATGACTCTCTAGCCTGAAGAGTGAAGACAAAAAGTTCCAGTTTAAATCTTGGACGACTTCAAGGCTGATGTTACCTTACCGGAAGTAATTATTAATGGATTTTTGTTTAAATTTCTCTGCAGACAATATAGATAGAACTGGAGGTCATTATGATAAGTGAAATAAGCTAGGCAACAAAAAGACAGACTTTACATGTTCTCACTTATTTCTGGAAGTTAAAAATCAAAATAATTGAACTCATGGAGATACAGAATAGGATTGTTACCAGAGGCTGGGAAGGGTAGTGGGTGGCAGGGTGGAGATGGATGGCTAATCGATACAAAAAAATAGAAAGAATGAATAAGATCTAGTATTTGATAGAACAACAGGGTGACTATAGTCAACAATAATTTAATTGTACATTTAAAAATAACTAGAGAGTATAATTGTATTGTTTGTAACAAAAGGATAAATGCTTGAGGGGATGGATACCCCATTTACCATGATGTGATTATTATGCATTGCATGCCTGTATCAAAGTATCTCATGTACCCGATAAGTATATGTACCCACTATGTACCAACAAAAATTAAAATTTTAAAAAAGTAAAATAAATTTCATTGCAGTATTTTTTAAATAACTGATGAAAGTACGTGCTTTATATTACCAAAAAGGAATTTATTAAATATTTTTGCCTTAGTGGAAAGAACCCAAAATTTTGTCTCATGGTATTTTATCGTCAAAAGGTGATGTCCGTTTAACTCCAGGGCCTGAAAATCTCCTACTCCTCTGCCTTCCTCGTGTATCTTGAACAGTCCAAATCTATAAACTGGCTCTAATTGTTTCGAAAGTGGGCAGCAGGCAGAGTTGGAATACATTCAAATTCAAATGCCCAAGTTCACCTTCCTGCTTTAATGAATATAATTGAATATTTCAGCTTTGATCATGATTTGTAAGGCCACAGGGTCATCATCCTAAATATCAGTGCTCTTTGTCCCCCGCAGAGAGAGACAGATGACTGAAGATGGCTGTTCCACTGAGTCTAGCACTTGCACACACAATTGTGGACTATTTGGCTTATACATTTTTAA